>NC_000003.12:166584361-166735877 GCF_000001405.40 Homo sapiens
CCATTTCCTCTAGATTTTCTAATTTGTGTGCATAGAGGTGTTCATAATAGTCTCCGAGGATCTTTTTTATTTCTGTGAGATCAGTGGTAGTGTCATCATTGTCATTTCTCTTTGTCCTTATTTAGTTCTTCTCTCGCTCTTTTTTCTTTTCTAATCTAGTTAAAGCTACCTATTCCTGATGTGTTGTTATAATTGCAAGAAAGGAAATACTGTACATTAACTTCTAAGTTAATTAGCTTATTAGAGAATGTAAGGATTTATAACATTATGTTATTATTATTATTATATCCAATTGTGTTCCATCCTGAGAGCTGTGGTGAGAAGCCTTTACAGTAATAATATTTTGGCTTTTTCTGGTGTTCTGTTTTGCCTTCTTATTTCTTACATTGCTTTGTGCTGGCAGACAGAGAGAGAATGCCAATGTAACTCCAGGGGTTGATGCCATTTCATAACTACAAGACATGGTTCATTACAGATAGGTTATTATAAAAGCAGAAAACAAGTGCCTTCCAAGAATCTAAGTATAGATAATTACATTTTAAAACTGCTTACAGTATGTTACTGCAATGGAACTGAAAAGCCAAATGGTAGAAACAGTTGCTTGGACCCCAGGCAAAGAAACATTTTAAAACTTCCATAATACACGAAGCATTCTCAAAATATGATAAATACACCTTTGTTCACTTGTAACTTTAGTGCTTGGTGTGAAAACTTTGTTTAAACATTTAGAGTGTTCTGTGGACTAAAGGGGAAAAGGTTAAGGGCATAGATCAAATTAGCAAAGATGCCAATTTGTGAAGCTGAGAGCTGGTAATAGAAGACTGCTGAATCTGGGCACATCACCAACTGTTAGCATTTGTTCTAAAATTTTTTTATATATATAAATAGCAACCTAAACTCAACGTTACTTATAAGGGAGTCATACATAAGAATTCTGTAGTTCAGATCTATTATTGGTTATTAGTTAGAAAACAGGTGTCTTCCTCAACAACTTAATGTAAGAAAATAATTCATCATTATATTCCTATGTCTTTATAACTCCTGTTTCATAGTGGTTACTTAATAAATAATCATAATGATAAAGAAGGTAATGATTAATGATAAAATTGATCACAACAGCTACTTTTCATTGGTCACATATTGAGTGCCAGGAACTCCGAAAACATTATCTTATTTAATTCTAAAAACATATCTCCTAAAATGATATCACTTATTCCTTTCTTATAGATGAGAATAGTAAGATATAAAGAAGTTGAGTACCATACCAAAAGTCAAATAATTATCATGCTAAAATTGCAAGATTTAAAAAGAAACATATCTCTAAACCCAAGTTTCTTCCCCTCCCAAAGAAATGTAAGCTGATTCTTTTGAGTGACAGAGTAGATGGAGGGATGGATGTATGAGTTCTAATGTTTATCTAGGCTAATGCATGAGTTCTGTTGTTTAAAGATACCACACACACACACACACACACACACACACACACACACACACACAGTGTTACAATGTAATACTTAAGAAGTGTCCAGGTTGGGCATGGTGGCTCACACCTGTAATCCCAGCAATTTGCGAAGCCGAGGCGGGCAGATCATTTGAGGTCAGGAATTTGAGACCAGCCTGACCAACATGGTGAAACCCCAGCTCTACTGAAAAAAAAAAAAAAAAAAAGCTGGACGTGATGTTGCGTGCCTGTAGCCCCGATACTCAGGAGGCAGAGGCAGGATAACTGCTTGAACCTGGGAGGCAGAGGTTGCCGTGGGCCGAGATCGCACCACTGCACTCCAGGCTGGGCAACAGAGCAAGACTCCATCTCAAAAAAAGAAAAAAAAAAGTGTCCATAAGAAGCACCACAATTTAAGAGAGAAGTATTAGTCATTTCCAGATATTTTCACACTGCAATATTTTTATGTGTTATTTGTGACTTCTGGGTTCAACCTCTACCAACACAATAGTCCACTCCACACAGGCTCTTTCTGTCTGAGTAGCAGTGCCCCTCCAGGTGGCTTTCAGGGAAAAGCTTCTTTTAAGAAGTCAGTACACACGCACTTGTCCATGTTGTCTCTTGTGGTCTGCGCCTGATCAATTAGAAATAGGCATGCACTTCTTCTGCCTCATCTCAAAAATACAGTAATTTGTATCGGTGTTTGTAAAAATTTGAAAACACTGCTTTAGTTTTAATAAAATTTTGTCTTAATTTTCATTTTACCTAAAAAGGAATATCACAATGAAACTTTTGTTAGCTCCAACTATTCCACGCATTTATCCCTGCCATCACCCAAATCATTTTAAAAATAATTCTTTCCATTACTTCTACCCAAGGCCATGGTTAAAGAGAGATTAGTGCTGCTTAAATAAAAGGTCCTCAGGTTGTGTGACAGTTGATTGCTTTAAGATTAAATTTTTACCCAAACTGGACTAAGTGAAATTCCTTCTAGAGATTCTGGAATGGGGTTAAAGGATTATAGTTTCTCTGTGGCTAGTTTTACACACAGAAGTGTGAGGCTTGGTCATGTTAATTGATCTGTTTTATCATGAGATTTGGAGGAATGAAAACACCTTACAAAGAGTACATGCGATTTATGAGAGGAACAGAGAAAAGTGAGACCAGGAGGATGAAAGGAAGAGAGAAGAGCCCAGCACTCAAGTCACGAGTTCCAGTTCAATCCTGAGGTCTTTCTGTTCCGGGCTATTTTTTCCTATTTTTCCTTGTAACTAGGCTTTTAACTAAGTTAATCCAAATGTGTTCCTATATTTTCAACCAAAGAAGCCATACTGAATATGAGAGAAAATACTTAGAACATGAAACAGAGAACTTAGTTTTAAAGAGATACATGTTAAATAATACAAAATATAAATATATTATAGCAAAGCTTTAAAAATAATATAAATGCTTCAACTTGCATCTTGGAAGATAATTTACAAAATTCTATATTTAAATATGTAACTAATATTTTGTCTAAGCATCAATTGTTACCTATGCAAATTAAATGGAATACAAACTAGCATTATGGCAATATAATTAGTATTTGGCGGATAGAAAAAGAAACATGAAATTTCCAAGTAGTATTTCACATAACAAGGGTGTAGTAAGAAGATTTAAAAAAATAAAAAAATAAAAAATAAACCATTTATAACTTTAGAAGGATCCAAAGAGAAAATATGCCTTGATAATTTGCTGAACTAAAGACTAGTGAGAAGATGACTTTAGTTTCTAAATCATTTCTCTATTCATATTTTATTATTTTACATTTCTCCAGCCATAGATTGATGTTATAATGAAATTAATCCTGTCAGGAGAAGAATTTTTAATTCTTAAACTGAATTCTAATAATTTCTATTTTCAAATCTCCCTTCATACTCCCACATAATGATCTTATCATTCCTGGTAATGCCCTTTATTTTTGTCATTTCCTTGAGAGTAGATTCCATTTTAATAATTATTTTCTGATTTTCTTGCCTTTTTCTGGCCTCATATTGCCCTTCTCTTTTGGCCAAGCTTAGTTCCTTTTATCTTTCCCTAATGAGAAATTGTTGCTACATGGTTTTGTTGCTCAGATTAAAAATTTTGGTGTCATCTTTGACCAGTATCTATCAATCTTTTTTTTTTCTCTCTCATCTTTTTCTCTCTTACTCACATGCTAACCTTTTGAGCCTTTCTTTGAAATATAGCTGGAATATATTCTGGCTTCTCTCACACTTCTTTCACTATCACTTTGGCCAAAACACCATTATCTGTGATTAGTGCAGATGATCAGTGCAGCATCATCTTCTCACCCTTGCTTTCACAGCAGCCTTCTTATAATCTGTTTTCTACACAGCAGTCTTTAAAATAACATTCAAGTTTATTTTTAGTTCAAAATGTAACAAACTTGGAAATCATCACTTCTTTAAGTTGGACACTTAAAAATAACTTACACCGGAACCATCAGAAAACAGGTCTTGAACAAACCACCATTGCAAAATCTTGAAAGACAGGTGAATCAGAGAGTCAAGCTAAAATGTATTTAACTGGAGGAAAGGTCAATTAAATAGTAATATTAATGAGGTTTTGGACAAACTTGAGAATGGGAAACTCCTAAAACCTACAGTCTTAAGAGAGGGCCCCCACATATTTGTGGGCTTTATTTCCAGGAACTTCATTAGGTTCTGACAATGAAGAGTTGAAAATACCCCATTCTGTGTGACTCTGGCAGGAGTGGAATACTCCCAGAGTATTCCCAAAAGAAAGGCTCGCTCTACAGGTGAAAGGCATTACCAAAGCCCTATCTCACTGGGGACAAGGGCATTTCTAGTACTGCAGTCTAATAAAGCATTCCTGTCTCAGGTAAGGGGGAAAATAAAGCTAAGAAACATAAGTAAACATAAGCGAACATAACAACTCAGGCACATAAGCCCATCTAATTATAAGATTATGTAAACCATTACCACATGGAACGTTTGCCTTTTTCCCTTTTCTTAGCACAGGTCGGGAAGGTTACTGATAAGCAAAGAGAGAAGGCCAATTGTTCCATGTGGTAATGGTTTAGATTTGAAAACACCAGTATGACCTCATGTTGTTTTAATACAGCTGTATATGAATCCATATGGAAACATTTATACCTATACACATATATTACCTTACTCTTAGTTAACAGGCCTAGAAGAAATGGCACTCCAGTAACAAGAAACATACCTAGTTTCTAGATATTGGCTTCTAATACTACATTTCACATAAAGGAACTAGGGCTTTTTGGAGAAATGGCTGATGCTAGGCTTAGCTGAGAAATTATAAAATGTGAGCTTGGAGCATATTCATTCTTACAGTGACAGAAAGTTGGGACACATTAAAACCAAACAAATGATAACAAAAGTACCATCAAAAACAAACACACATTCACAAATACATATCTGGGGATATGTCAAAGGAATGCAGAAGCCTACTAAAAGAGCTTCCAATAGCCAATGCTGGAAAATTTTGAGTAAAATAAAGTAATATTGGATTTTAATTTAAATTATAAAACAGATATTTGTGAGTCCATACAGATACAAATGACTGAATAAATAAACAGGGAAGAATAAACAAATTATTCCCGCAGAAAAAATCCAAACAATTCTTGCAGATAATTTGTATGCAAGAAGATTTACATCTCAAGCATGGGCATCTCATTGTGACTTCTCTCTAAAAGTTCAATAGACAAAGCAGGGAAAACTGCTACCTTTACATAGAGAAACCTGACAAACACCACTTCAGCCAAGTGATCAAGGTTAATATATACTGGGATTAGTTATGTTGATAGTATGTACCCTTTATATGAAAATATCACTTGACCTCTGAACTTTCTTCAAAAACCCATAATCTGGTCTAATCATGAGAAAAACATCAGACAAATCTTAATTAAGGAGCATTCTATAAAATTTCTGACCCGGACCTCTCAGAACTATCAAGGTCATCAAAGTAAGGAATATCCTACAGTCAAACCAAGAGAAACCTGAGGAAACCTGATGATTAAATGTGATGTGGTATCCTGGATGAGATCTTAGGACAGAAAAGGGACATCAGGTTAAGATAAAGAAATCTAAAAAAAAAGTATTAAGGGGGCCGGGCGCGGTGGCTCACGCCTGTAATCCCAGCACTTTGGGAGGCCGAGGCGGGCGGATCACGAGGTCAGGAGATGGAGACCACGGTGAAACCCCATCTCTAATAAAAATACAAAAAATTAGCCGGGTGTGGTGGCGAGCGCCTGTAGTCCCAGCTACTCAGGAGGCTGAGGCATGAGAATGGCGTGAACCTGGGAGGCGGAGCTTGCAGTTGAGCCCAGATAGCGCCACTGCAGTCCCACCTGGGCGAAAGAGCAAGACTCCGTCTCAAAAAAAAAACAAAAACAAAAAACAAAAAACCGAACACCGCATGTTCTCACTCATAAGTGGGAGTTGAACAATGAGAACACATGGACATAGGGAGGGGAACATCACACACCAGGGACTGTTGGGGGGTTGGGGGCTGTGGGAGGGATAACATTAGGAGAAATACCTAACGTAGATGAGGGGTTGATGGGTGCAGCAAAACACCATGGCACGTGTATACGTATGTAACAAAACTGTACGTTCTGCACATGTACCCCAGAACTTAAAGTATAATTTAAAAAAGAATTTTTTGACTATTGTGAGCACTGCTTTGATTCTAGTTTGTGGACCAGTGCTGGCATATCATAATGCTTACAAATAATTGTTGAATAATGAATGAATAGTGAATTGAATTGAATTCAATTATTTGTGTGAAACAGCACAACTATCCCTAGGAACTGTGATGAAAAAGCTAGTATCTATAGCTTGAAATATATTGATCAACATGGGTGTTAAAAGTAAAATAAGTAAAGATCTAAACCAAATATTGATAATTTTAAGTAACAAATCGTATATATTGACACAAAATTATGGAGAATTAATGATCTCAATCAACACTATGTATATTAAAAGTTATAAATAATCTTAATCTCATGTCTTATCACATACTAGTCTATTACTAAGCTTTTTCAACTTCGTCATGGCAGGTAGCTTATTGATACATAAAGCATTCAGCATTCAATAAAAAAAGGATTATAAATTTTCTTCTGCAGTATACACAGCATCCTCAAAATAGATTTTTCTGATACTTAAAGAGATTTCTGACAGAAATGCTAGCACTGACATATATAGTATATATCATTTCAGGCTCTGCTGTGATTTATACGGACTTTAATCCAACCTTATTTTGATTTATGTTTAAAGTGTTAGAAATGAAATTCAATGATTTTCTCAGATACAAAATTTATTAACCACCTTGAAACTCAGAACAAGTTATTTGTTGGACTTAAATGCTGCTAGCCACAGTCTTTTTGAATTGTTATGATATGTGACTAAGAACTACTTCAGGGCATAATGCATCCAAAGAAGTAGAAACTTACGTTGAATTAGAAATAAAAGTAGGAGAAAAAAAGTAAAGTTAATGCTATGTATTTACATTTTAAATTGAATAAGGATCTATAATACTCCAGCTAAAAAATTCAATTATTATCAATAGTCATACATATGGTTCACTTTATGATGTAACTTAAACCCCACTGGTAGAGTGTTGCTAAAACGTAAGGCCTATTCAAGAGGTATTTGTATTTAAAAGACTCTTTAATTTTCTGCATATTTACAATGCTTTGACATCTTAAAATATCTTTATGTCTGGGAAAAGACTGCCTTCCTGTGGCTAGACAATTCTTAAAAGTAGCAAAAGGCCTAACTGGGAGTATATCTCTGGTATGCAAACTAACCAATCTAGAGCCATATCTCCTCTCTCTGGACCATATTCATTAGTCTATCATCCCCAGCACATTTGTTATAAGTAATAAATGACATTGACACATCATTAGCACTCTAAATCCATAGTTTACATTAGGGTTCACTCTTGGTATTGTACATTCAATGGGTTTTGACAAAGACATGACATATATCCACCATTATAATACAGAAGAGTTTCACTGCCCTAAATATTCCCTGTGCTCCTCCTATTTTCCTCCCCTTTCAAAATACCTTTGACAACCACTGATCTTTTTACTGTCTCCATAGTTTTACCTGTTCCAGAATGTCATATATATGTAATCACACAGTATGTAGCATATTCAGATTCGTTTCTCTCATTTAGTGCAATGCATTTAAGTTTCCTCCATATATTTTCATGGCTTACAAGATCATTGTAACTTAACGCTGAATAAACATTTCATTGTAAGGATATATTATAGTTTATCCAGTTATCTGTTGAAAGACATCTTGGTTACTTCCAAGTTTTGTTAATTATGGGTAAAGCTGCTATAAACATCAGATGCAGGTTTTTGTGTGGGCATACATTTTTACCTTATGTAGGTAAATACCAAGGAGTGTAACTGCTGGATCTCTTGGTAAGCATATGTTTAGCTTTGCAATAAATGGCCAAATTATCTTTTTAAGGCATGGTATAACCCATCATCAATAAATGAAAATTATTGTTCTACATTCTTGTAAACATTTGGTGTTCAGTGTTTGGTGTGTAAAGTATCTGGTTTTAATTTGCAATTTTGTAATGATGTATTATGTTGAATATTTTGATATGCTTATTTGCCATTTGTATGTCTTAAATTGTAAGGTATTCAGATCCTTTGCCCATTTTTAATTTTTTTAAAATTAATTTGCCCATAATTTAATTTTATTGTTGAATTTTAAAGGCTTTTGCATATTTTGGATAACAGTCATTTTCAGATGCATTTTGCAAATATTTCTCCCAGTTCATTGCTTGTCAGCTCACTGTCTTAACAATGTTTTTTACGGAACAAAAGTTTTTAATTTTAAAGTAGTTCATGTCATCAATTATTTCTTTTAAGGGTAATTATTTTGGAATTGTATCAAACTATAGTCATCTATATTTTCTCCTATGTTATCTTCTAGAAGTTTCACAGTTTTGCCTATTATGTTTGGGTCTATAATCCATTTTAAGGTTTTTTTTTGGCAAAAGTTAAAGGTCTCTATCTGGATTCATTTTTTTATATTTTCAGTGTTTTGTTTTTTGTTTTTTTTTTTTTTGGCATGTAGACATCCAGTTGTTCCAGCACCATTTGTTGAAGAATCTATCCTTTCACCACTGAATTGTCTTTTCACCATTGTCAGTGATCAGTTGACCATATTTATGTGGGTCTATTTCTGAGCTATCTATTTTATTCCATTGATTTATTTGCTTATTCATTCACCAACACCTCACTGATTTGATTGCTGTAGATTTAGAGTAAATCCTGAAGTTGCATAGTGCCAGTCATTTGACTTTGTTTTTCTCTTTCAGTATTGTAATATTGACTATTCTTGGTCTTTGGCATCTCCACATAAACTTAGTTTGTTGATATCCACACAATAACTTGCTAGGATTTTACTGCGATTGCATTGAATCTATACATCGTGTTTAGCAAACTGACATCTGTTTTTTTTGTTTGTTTGTTTGTTTGTTTTTTTTTTTTTTTGGAGACGGAGTCTCGCTCTGTCTCCCAGGCTGGAGTGCAGTGGTGCGATCTCGGTGCACTGCAAGCTCCGCCTCCCGGGTTCACGCCATTCTCCTGCCTCAGCCTCCCAAGTAGCTGGGACTACAGGCACGCGCCACCACGCCCGGCTAATTTTTTGTATTTTTTACTACAGACAAGGTTTCACTGCCTTAGACAGGATGGTCTCAATCTCCTGACCTCGTGATCCGCCCACCTCGGCCTCCCAGAGTGCTGGGATTACAGGCGTGAGCCACTGCACCCCGCCTCTGACATCTTAACAATATTGAGTCTTCCTATTTATAAGCATGGAAATCTCTCCATGTATTTTATTCTTTGTTAATTTCTGTTGTATAAGACAGTAATCGATTTTTTAATATTAACTTTGTATCCTGGAATCTTGCTATCATCATTTATTAGTTCAACAAATTCTATTGTAGATTAGATTTTCTACTAAAATAATCCTATAATTTGTGAACAAAGACAGTTTTATTTTTTCCTTCTGAGTCTGTATATCTTATATTTCCTTCTCTTGTCTTATCACATTAGCTAAGAGTTCCAGTATAATGTCGAAAAGGAATGGTGAGTGGTGACATTCTTGCCTTGCTCCTGATCTTAGTAGAAAAATTTCTAGCTTCTCATTACCAAGTATGATGTTATCTGTAGGATTTTTGTATATGTTCATCAATTTGATGAAGTTTCCCTTTATTCCTATTTTGCTGATAGTTTTTTATTATGAGTGTTAACTATTGTCAAAGGTATTTTTCTGTATTTATTATCTGATTTTTCTTCTTTAGCTTATTGATGTGATTAATTACATTAATTGATTTTTGACTGTTTTCCCAGTCTTGCAGACCTAGAGAATCCCACTTGGTCATGGTGTATAATTGCTTTTATGAGTTTTTGGATTTGATTTGTTAATATTATATTGAGGATTAATATATCTATATTGATGAGAAATTGTAGTCTCTAGCAGATTCTGTTTTGAAGCAATAATATGACCAGTTTTAGGCAATGGTATATAATTATCTAAATTAACTATAACAATCATATGCCTTATTTTACTATCTTCTTTTGTGAATAGACATTGTCAAGTGACTTAAGACAAAAAATTACTGAGGAAATTTCTTCTAGAGACTTTTCTTTAGCTATCAATAGAAAATATGTGACCCCTCTCAGACCTTGGTCCTGCCTGCTTTCACATTCTTCTTCACTGAATGCAGGTATGGTGATTTGAAGTAAGGTAGCTACTTGAGATCATGAGGAAAAGGCCTAGCAAATGACACATATTAGTTATGTCATTTTTAATACACTGATAAAATGTAAAACAAAAAGCATTAACTCCAGGTTTCATTATGCCAACAAAATAAAAGTACATTGCTTAAGCTACTGTAATTAATTTACCTGTTTACTTTCAGATAAACACATTTCTAGTAGTTCAGCTTCCTAAAAACATCAGTTCCTTTATTTCGAGGGAACTAATGATTTTGAGTTATATTTGAGAGTGTCTGTGTGTTTTACAAAAGAAGACCAGGAAATAATAACTTTCTAGCATGCATTATTTTTAACAATACATTATGTTATTCAGCAAGTATTTACTTAGTACTTACTCTATACAGCATTAGCACAATGTCTTGAACCTGGAGTAAGAAATCAGATTGTTTTTAATATTAGTATTAGTATTCCTATTTTTAGTATTTTAGCACTTTCAGATTTTCTTTTTAATTTACTAATATTTTAATCCAACTTACAGTCATGCTTTAGAATCAAAGTAATTTCTATTTAAGTAATTAGATTAGAATAAGTCTGGAAGAAGATCCATTAAGCCACCAAAGGTATTCATTTGTAGAAAGAGATACATTAAGTGCCAATTATATTCACTATTTTAAGTTTTGGGTTTACTGCAACAAACAGAGCAGACAAGGCACATGCATTTTACAAAATTTACAATATACTAAGTGGAAAGAGGAAAAAAAAATAAAACAATTGATCGATAATTTCAAATAATATTGAGTGATCAGTAAAACATTAAGAAAAAGTTTTAGAACTGGCAAATTAGAGTTACTTTAGTTAGTATGAAGAAATATGAAACTATATTGTAGGAGTAAATTAGAACTGTCTTTGATGTCACAAAAAGGTACTCAAATTTCAAAAAGATGAAGATATTCTCAGCTAGTTTCATCTTAATGAGCCTTGTCAAACTGGTTGCTCACAGATGAAATATCTTGCATTCTTACATTAAATCATCTGGTTTGGAGTGGAAATTTTATGAAATATTTTTGGAAAGCTTACTAAGATACAGGATTATTTAAAGCTCAGGACTAGAGAATCAGGTGGTATGAGCTCAACTCACAGCCTTGCAATAATGAGGTATCTCTCCTTAGGCAATCATTCTGCTCAGTTTTACAAAGTTTTAGAACATATGCAAAACTAAAGAATTGGGCCAATGATCTTTAATATCCTTTATGTTCAAATTTTGAAGCTTCCTTTAGCTCATGGTTTGAAAATAATGATTCTGCTGAGAAATTCAGCATATGAATATCAAAATATCCTCTATAAAATTTCTGATATAAAGCTTGAATAATTTACCTTCTGTAATACTTGAAGGATGTATTTATATCTGATATATATTCAGAGAACTCTGTTACATCTCATCTATTTCCTTAAAAATATTTAGGCATTTTAATTGTCATTTCTACATCTTTTTCTGTCAAAAAAACATTTTTAGAACAGTTATCTCTACTGTTTCACCTGAAAATAATTCAGAAATGTAATGAATACTAGTTGAGAAATCAATCTTCCATGAAAAATGAAAGGCTTGTTTTGTATTTTGCTTAATTATTTCGCTACTCAGCACTCATATAAACCTGGCCACTTGTAGCAGAAAAATCTGGATTCTTGTAGAAATTATTAAATTGGCTCCCACATTTGCAATTATAAAAATGAAGATGTCAGTTTTTCTGTTCCTGTGTTAATTCGCTGAGACTGATGATTTCCAGCTTCATCCATGTCCCTGCAAAAGACATGAACTCATTCTTTTTTCATGGCTGCATAGTATTCCATGGTGTATATGTGCCACATTTTCTTTATCCAGTCTATCATTGATGGGCATTTGGGTTGGTCCTGAGTCTTTGCTATTGTGAATAGTGCTGCAATAAACATACGTGTGCATGTGTCTTTATAGTAGAATGATTTATAATCCTTTGAGTACGTACCCAGTAATAGGATTGCTGGGTCGAATGGTATTTTTGGTTCTAGATCCTTGAGGAATTGCCACATTGTCTTCCGCAATGGTTGAACTAATTTACACTTCCGCCAACAATGTTAAAGTGTTCCTATTTCTCCCCACCCTCTCCAGCATCTGCTGTTTCCTGACTTGTTAATGATCGCCATTTTAACTGTTATGAGATGGTATCTCACTGTGGTTTGATTTGCATTTCTCTATGACAAGTGATGATGAGTTTTTTCTCATATGTTTCTTGGCCACATAAATGTCTTCTTTTGAGAAGTGTCTGTTCATATCCTTTGCCCACTTTTTGATGGGGTTGTTTGTTTCATGTTCTCACTCATAAATGGGAGTTGATCAATGAGAACACACGGACACAGGGAGGGGAAGATCACACACTGGGCCTGTTACAGGATGGGGGACTAGGGGAGGGATAGCATTTGGAGAAGTACCTAATGTAGATGACGGGTTGCTGGGTGCAGCAAACCACCGTGGCACGTGTATATACCTATGTAACAAACCTGCACGTTCTGCACATGTATCCCAGAACTTAAAGTATAATACAAAACATGAAGATGTAATTTTAAATTTGGACCAAAGTGTATAAAAATTGTTACTGGTTTTTGAAAACCTGTATAAGAATGCCCTAACAATTGTATAAAGTTAACTTTAAAGAGTAGTCAAAGATTTTAGTCTGCACATACAAAGTGACCCCAAGGTAGAAACCTCAATTACTCCAAATTACCTTGGCTGCCTTCTTTTTCATAGTTAAATGATCAAAATCTTCTGTTAATTATACCTCAGCAGAGTATTTCAAATACAGATTGTCCTTAAAATGCTTGTTGTCTTTAACTTGGTTCAGTCCTTCAATTTATCTTAGATGAGTTGATCCTTGTAGCCTCCAGTTCTACTTCCATACCCTTTTTACAAAGTCCTCCTCATTGATGTGGTTTATGTTCCTTTATGTCTCTAGATTAAACTTCTTACAATATAGGAAGTTGTATCAGAACAGAAAGAGTTCATTTCTATCATCAGCACATTATGAGAAAATATAACACATAGTAGAGAGTCTACTAATAGCAGATTACCAAAAAGAAACTGTTGAATGAATAAAAATAAATGAATAGAAAATAATTCTAATTTTGAAACTGCAATATTTAAAGCTTCTAGTAACTTCTGTATTATTTTCAGAATACAATTGATATTATTTAGCATACTTCCACCATCTATGTCTATGAAATCCACATTTTCATTTCGTCCACCATGAGATTAAGTCACAATGAAATTATCATGATGTCCCAAACCTGGAAATCTTTTTTTTTTTTAAATCACTAAGTTCTTTGGTATACTCTTTTGTATCTTCTGATTAGACTCCCCTTCCCTTCTCCCCTAATAGATATATTACTGCATACATTCTTCTACCCAGCTAGATGCTGCCTCTTCTATTAAGACTTTCTGACTATCACTAGGACAACACATAGTTGTACACACATGCAGAGAGACTCATATACATTTTATAAGTGTATGTACATATACATTTATAAATAACATATGAAACACATGCAAACAAATTCTGATTATAATGCTTAAAATGCTATTTGGAAAATCATCTAATGATTAAGGATTATTTATATCTAAAATAATAAATTACATTATATAACTAAGTCAGTTTTATTGAAACAAAATTAAAGAGACTTTAAAGTGCCATTAGCATGGAGTTTAATGCTTTTTGAAATAATCTCTTCAAGTAGTAAAAATAAAATATTTAGGAAAAGGAAAGAATGAGGTTTACTCAAATCAAATGGTTACAGGAAATTATCAAGAATACTGACCCTTCTGAAACAGTAGTTTATCAGCTAATAAGAAGTGCTAAATGTTTACCTACTAATAATAAGTAGTTTACCTACTAAAAATATTGAGCTAATTATTGGCATGTTGACAGCACATGCTTATTTTTTTTCTCTTGAAATCCCACTAAGATAAAGGTCATATATTATTGTAATAGATATAGTCAAGGGAAAACTATTTGTGGTATACATCATTATAGATGACAGATTTTTTAAAAATTTGGAAAGACCTCACATGAACTGACAAGAAGTATCAGATTTAGAGACATGCGAAACTGAACAAGAAAGACGACAAGAGTTCTAATGAAGAGTAGCAGTGAGGCAAAGAACAGAAAATAGGAAATTATATGATTCTGTATACTGAGTTGTTGGAACCCAATTCTATTTCCTCAATTTCTTCAGCCCAGCACATTTTCTTAAGCAGAAATTTGGAGCATTCTTCATTTAAAAATCTGTACTACCCCAGATACAAGATCTTCATGTATCTATACTTTGGATGTCACCCAACAAAAATGTCAGGTCACTCTTTGACCTCCTTTAAAGACCAAAAGTAGACAAGTCTTTTACTTGAAACAGATAAATTTCAACATTTTTCTTAGCAGTTAATTTTTACACTGAAAAGACAACCATATTACACTTGTGGAAGATTCTAGTTGAATTATCAGAAAGCAAAGGAGGCAGATAAAGATGTCCGGGAGAACACTGGTAATTAAAGTATGCGAGAATATTTAAATCAGTAAACCAAAGACTACATTTACTATCTTTAGTTAGAAATGTTGCATGAATAGCATCCGTTAAGAGAAGAGAAGTATTTTCCAAATAATGTATAGTCAAAGAACAAAACACTTTAGGCAAAAGGATTAGAAACCAGATTGAAAGACAGTGAGAGAAAAATGTTCAAATACAGGCATACCTTAGAGAAATTGCAGGTTCAGTTTCAGATCACTAGAATAAAGAAAATTTCATAACAAAGCAAGTCATATGAATTTTTGGCTCCCCACAGCATATAAGTTATATTTACACTCTAGACTATTAAATGTGAAATAGCATTATGTCTACAAAACAACATACATACCTTTATATAAAATATTTTATTGCTAAAAATGCTAATGATCATCTGAGCCTTCAGCAAGTAATAATGTTTTTGCTGGTTTTGTCTTGTCTCTCGTCTTGTCTCAACTAATGACCACTGAATGATCAAGTTGGTGGTTGCCGAAGGATGGAGTGACTGGCAATTTCTTAAAATGAGACAACAATAAAGTTTGTCACATGTATTTATTCTTCCTTTCACAAATGGTTTCTCTGTAGCATGTAATGCTATTTGATAGTATTTTATCCACAGTAGAACTTCTTTCAAAATTGGAGTCAATCCTTTCAAACCTTGCTGCTGTTTTGTCAACTAAGTTGATGTAACATTCTAAAGTTTTTGTTGTCATTTCATTAATGTTCATAGCATCTTCACCAGGAGTAGATTTCATCTCAAGATGCCCCTCCTAATCCACTAGAATTTTATAATAAGATTGCAGCAAATTTATTCATACCTTCAGGCTCCTCTTCTAAGTTTAGTTATCTTGCTATTTTTACAATATTGTCAATTACTTTCTCCACTGAAATTTTGAACCTCTCAAAGTCATCTCTAAGGATTGGAATCAACTTCTTGTGAACTCATGTTAATGTTTCTTTTTTGACCTCCTTCACCCTTGAATCAGAAGTGTTCTTTATGGCATCTATTCATAACAGTGAATCTGAAGGTTTTCAATTTACTTTGTCTAGATTTATTAGAGGAATCAGTACTTATGGCATTTATAGCCTTAAAAATTGTGTGCACTATCTGTGGAACACAATAAAATAAGCACAATAAAATGAGGTCTGCCTATAGATACAACCTCTGCATGAAGAACAGTGATCATTGACAAGAGGAGGGAATTATCAAAAAGTCACTGGATTAGAGTTCTCTAGAGGGACAGAATTAGTGGGATATATGTATGTATTAAAGGGAGTTTATTACAGAGAATTGACTCACATGATCACAAGGTAAAGTCCCATGATAGGCCATCTGCAAGTTGAGGAGCAAGGAAGCCAGTGGTGGATCAGTCCAAGTCCCAAAACCTTCAAAAGTAAGAAAGCTGACAGTGCAGCCTTCAGTCTGTGGCCAAATGCCCGAGAGCCCCTGGTAAACCACTGGTGTACGTCCAAGAGTCCAAAATCTAAAGAACCTGGAGACCAATATTTAAGGGCAGGAAGCAGGCAGCACAGGAGAAAGATGGAGGCCAGAAGACTTAGCCAATCTAGTCCTCCCATGTTCCTTTGCTGCTTTTATCCTAGCAGAGCTGGGAGCTGATTAGATTTTGCCCACCCAGATTGAGGGTCTGCACTCCCAGTCCACTGACTCAAATGTTAATCTCCTTTGTCAACACCCTTACAGACACACCCAGGAACAATATTTTGCTTCCTTCAATCTAATCAAGTTGACAATATTAACCATCACAGTCACACCAGAAAATATTCCAGAAATAAAGGATAGAAATTTTCCATTTGAAAGCATAAACCATGTACCTAGAAGAATGAATAAAAAACATCTAGAGAACATCCTAAAAACTTCAAGAGAAAAGACATATTCAAAGGAATACAAAGAAATACAAATAAAATGTAATACAAATCACGGTGACACTTGTCTTCTAAATAACAATACTAGATGCTAGAATGTACAGTTATAAGGAAACTCTTCTTTTCTATGAGATATAGCACTACATTCATTGCATATGAGAACACAATAAAATCAATTTCTTATATATAAAAGATAAATATTCAATATTCCCAGTACCTTTTATTCATAAGTAACTAGAAGACATGTCCATTTGCACAAGAATGTGGAAATAAGAGAAAAGGTGGCTTGGATGTCAGGGAAAAGTGCAATGAATTCTGACTGATGGACACATTCGTGCAGCCAACACCCCAGTGAAGACTCAGAATATTTGTATTATACCTGGACCACTGCATCTAACGCAAAAGTGGGATAAAAGTGAAAAATGATCTCAGGCAGTCTAAGGGGGTGACCAGAGGAAAGTGAAAGAGAGAAACTGGAGTTTAGTGAGGGAAAAGGCTCCAGACAATAATCATAGAAAATCAGACTTTGAGGGAAAGCAAGCAAACAAAAACGTATTTACTTAACGACAGAACTAATGGAATAAGCATTTGTGTTTAGGAAATACTAAAGATGAAAAATTAGGTAATTTTAACACCAAAAAAGAAACCCAAAATATTAAACACAAGGAAAAAAATGGCAGTAAGGAAAACAAATCATTACAGTGCTTGGATAGTATACTGCAAAAGTTATTGCTGACTTGATCAGAAAGTGTGCTGTGTCTGGACCCAGTGGCTCATGCCTGAAATACCAGCAGTCTGGGAGGCCGAGGCAGGCACATTGCTTGAGCCCAAGAGTTCAAGACTGGCCTGGCCAATATGGTGAAACCCCCTTTTTCTACTAAAAATACAAAAATTAGCTGGGCATAGTGGCCAGTGCCTGTAATCCCAGCTACTAGGGAGGCTGAGGCAGGAGAATCCCTTGAGCTGGGGAAGTGGAGGTTTCAGTGAGCTGAGATTGAGCCACTGTACTCCAGCCTGGCGACAGAGTTAAACTCTGCCCACCTCCGCAAAAAATAAATCAATAAATACAAATTAACCGGTCGTAGTGGAGCGCCTGTAGTCCCAGCTGCTCTGGAGGAGAGACAGAGGAGGTTGCAGTGATCCCTGATTGCGCCACTGAAAAAACAAAGTATGTTATAACTAATTGGTAAGTTAGAAGAGAGGAGTGTACTGTTTCGGGTAAAGAAGTTAAATATTCATCTCAAATTGATCAATCACATAATTACTATACAAAAATATTATCAAGAAATATCAAGAAGAAGATCAGAATAAATCATTAGAAGTTGGCCCTTGTCATAGTAGGACTGAAAATGCAAGTGGTAAAGTGATAATACTGTTTTCTTTTAAGTCTTTTAGTATTCATTGTTTTTGTTTTGTTTGTTGCATTTTGTTTTGTTTTGACAGAGTTTTGCTCTGTCGCCCAGACTGGAGTGCAATGGCGCTATCTCGGCTCACTGCAACCTCTGCCTCCTAGGTTCAAGCGATTCTCCTCCCTCTGTCTCAAAAGTAGCAGGGACTACAGGCTCCCGCCACCATGCACGGATAATTTTTGTATTTTTAGTAGAGACGGGGTTTCACCATGTTGGCCAGGCTGATGTCAAACTCCTGACCTCAAGTGATCCACCCGCCACGACCTTCCAAAGTGCTGTGATTACAGGCATGAGCCACCACACCTGACTATATTAATTGTATTTGAATGTCTATAACATGGATGAACCTGGACGATATTATGGAAAATAATCACAGAAAGACAAATACCACATAATTCCATTTATATGAAGTATCAGAAATAACCTCATAATATTAGATAATAGACTAGTGATTACCAGGGGCTTTCTGTTCAAGGGGTATAAAGTGTCAGTTATAAAGATGAATGAACTCTACAGATTTGCTGCATAACACTGTACCTATTGTTAACACTACTGTATTGTTAAGAGGGTAGATTTCATGCCAAGTGGTCTGATAACTATTTTTTAAAAGATAATAAATTTGTGTTTTTGATAAATACAGATAGTCAAAAAGAGATATATAGACCTGTAGGAGATTAATATAGGTTTACCCAGTCATTTTTCAGCACATTGGCTACAATCAGAAAGTAGTTCAGTTTGATGTTAGCAGCATTTTTTTTCTTATTCAGTAACTTTGGTTGATGGCTTCTAGGTCCAACTGTGACTAGCTTTCCTAGCACCAGCTGTCAATCTTAATATTATCACTTTTGCCAGTATTTTCCTTTCTATTTTATTTCAATCACAGACATCAATGAAACATAAGTAGTTGTTAAATAGGAAAATATAACCCATCCCTCAAGTACAGTGGTAAAACACTTTGTAAAAATAACCCTTCACTAAAATACTATTTATACAAAAAAATCTTGAAAATATAGATTATTTATTAAGTGAAACTTCATGTTATTTAAATTACTTAGGATAAAATTTGTGAAAATTGCTATGTTAAAAAAGTTATGGCAACAATAAAAACCCTTTTGAATAGACATTGTTAAAATACTGTGAATTAGATTTGATCTCATAATTAATCATATTGAAAAAAATCAATAATAGTTACAGCCTCAAATCAGAAATATTCCATTTTTACTAGAAGCCACAAATATAAATCAATCTATTTTAATGAAACACAGATGTAAATCAGTCTACATTAAAGTTTGAGATTATACTACAGAAGCTTTTTCTTTTTCTTTAAATCTGACTTGGTGTATAAATTCTTTCAGCAAATACCAAGAACTCTTGCCAGGAGCAGTGGCTCGTGCCTGTAATCCCAGCACTTTGGGAGGCTGAGGCGGGCAGATCACTTGAGGTCAGGAGTTCAAGACCAGCCTGGCCAACATGGCGAAAACCTGTCTCTACTGAAAATACAAAAACTAGCCGGGCGTGTTGGTGCATTCCTGTAATCCCAGCTCAGCTACTTGGGAGGCTGAGGCAGGAGAATCACTTGAACCCAGGAGGCAGAGGTTGCAGTGAGCTGATATCACGCCATTGCACACCCGCCTGGGGGACAAAAGCGAAACTCTGTCTAAAAAAAAAAAAACAAAAACCCTTGACGTTGTACTATAACCAGAATTGGTATACACAATATAGAGGCAAGAACAACTTAATAATTACTACAAAATAAACAAAACCAAAAGCCTGCAATTATTTTATTGCAAATCATTATCAAAATCTATCTAAAGCAAAGAATAAACACTCATTTGTATTAGGTGAATAAAAGAGGAGATTGATCCCTTGCATCTAAGAACAGCAATAAAAAATAATTTTTCAGAGGAAATAAAAAGAGAATATATTTGTATTTTGCTTGTGCTTGTAAAATTTGTCAGACTGAATAAACTTATATAGTGAAAAAATACATATGCTATGATAAATTTTAATAATACGCTTCTTTGTCTCAGTCCTGAGATTTCTATATAATTGGCATTTTTAAAGAATTAGGAATTATTTTCCCTGTAAACCAAAATGCTAAATTCTTAGATATTAACAAAAAAAAAGTATAACATTGAACTCTGTCAAAACTCTAAGAGAAACAAAAACATATAAAGAGGATTTTTTGGTCTTCTCTAAGGTAATGATTATTATAACAATTTTAATATTTGAAAAGCTTTTCATAGAATATGTTCTCAGATAGTCAATCCATTATTGCATAAATATTTTGATTAACAAATAATTTGCACTTTTTCATGTTTAAACCCAAAGACCCCATATCTATAGTTTGTCTTCAAAAATATGAATATATATGTTTGCTTTATTTTTTCAGAAAGAAAATCATGATATATTCTCAAAACCAAATATTTTCTAAAGTTTTAAAATAATTTAAAGAAAGGGAAATTTTTGTGATGGATAGGATGCTCAAAATTTTGGCATTAAATATGAGTATTAACCTACATTAACATTTAAAATAAAGCTTTTTGCCAACTGCTTCAGGAAAGGAACATCCCTGGAATATCTTACAAATGTAAATTTTCATTGAGAGTATATTGACTGCAGAACTTTGCACATTAGCCCCCATGCGCACAGGTATGAAAGTAAAATCCCTTGGTCAAAGAGAAAATTTGTCAAGCACATCTTTGCACTGAAGATAATAAGTATGGCTAAAACATGGATTTCTATGTAAAAAATGTTGTCAAGAAACTGCTTGTTTTTGATAGAACAAGATGACTAAGAAATATGAAGAACAGAGTAGATGATGTTGAAAAAAGCATTGATAGTTATGATCTGCGTTCTATGCTCCTCAGAGAACATTGAAACTACCCATAGTGTCAAAAGTTCTCAGTGATGGTGATACATCTAACTTGAAACATTTCTAAAATGACTGAAACAAGTCCTTTCCTGAGCTTCCAGAAGTTTCAGAAGTTGCCAAAAATTTCTGAGAGCAGAAATTCACATCTGCAAGGAAGCAGGAAGATTTGAGCCTGACTGGGAAAGCAAACTGGGTATATGTGGACTTGAAAAGATATGGATGTGGATAAGGATATTTCAACATTTATGTATATCGATATGTAGATAAAAAGATTGGAAAGCAGTAAAAATTCATAAGGGTGCCGCTATCTAACCAATTAAGGGTAACTGGGAATCTACTACACAGTAGGAAATTCTGAAAATCTTGTTTGGTTGTGGATCTCATGCAGATTTTACTGTCATTTCCTTTGAATAGCTAAGTTTAGAAGACTTAACTTCCAAAGTTTAAACTAAACATGTTTTATATAACCACCATTATATGTATGTGCACGTAAAGAAGACAATATGACTGATACGTTAAAAATTTGCAGTGATGTAAATGTGCTTTTCAGAAGCTGTGATGTTAGTTTTCGGTTAATTTTGAAGAACTCTTCTCTAGGAGACAAAATATAAAGTATATCTGCTGTTTTTTTGTTTTTACATTTTATGATATTTTGTAAGGAAAATATTATGTGGTTTATATCTAATATCCCCAACTTCATAAGTGTTAACTTTAGTCTTTGAAAGCAGAAGGAAAGAAAATATGGACAGTAGTCCAAGAAAACCCAATCATCAAATAATATGTTCAAAATATATAAGTATTCAAAAATTTTTGTATATTGAAAAATTTTGTATATTTCGTAAATATTGCATAGTGGAGTAGCTTCTCATTTAAAATTAAAATTCAAATCTACTAAAAAATGCGTCTCACAAAAATAACAAAACATTTTTAACATTGACTGCTGCATGGGCTTTCATGCAAAATATTCCTTTACTTTTGTATTTGAAAAACAGCAAGAAACAAATTATCTAAAGAATGTAAGCATTCAATCATGGCAAAATTAACCTAACAATGTTTTAAACAGAAAACTGACATAATTCATCAGCAGCAAAATTTCACCCTCCGAAATAATAGATTTGAACTCTTCAGGCTCAGGGACGAATAAAAAATATTGGAAACAGCAAATATCTGTATATATACAAACACTTTTTTTCTGAGCTTATTTTAAAATACTAAATATTGTTGTGTTGAAGACTTCATACTGTATATAGATATATTAGATATAAAAACTACAGCATGAAGTGTGGTAAACTTGAGGGGTTTATATACCTATATCCATATCGTTTTAATATTGTCCTTGAAGTGGCAGAACCCTAATTCTATCTAAGTGGTAAAAAATAAAGCATGTGTATTATATTTAATAGATTAAACATAAAAATGATGCAACAAAGCACTTATCTAAAAAGCCATTATAGGGGCATCAGGACTTTCTGAGGCTGTGCCACAGGCGCATAGTTAAATTTTTAAAAAGTCATTACATAAATTAAATACAGTTTAGAAATAGTCAAATAATCTAAAAGAAGGCAAAAAAAGGAGAGAAAAGGATTGAGAAGAGATACAGAAATAGAGAGGAGAACCAAAGATAAATATTAATAAATATGAAGTTTTTAGAAAAAATACTTATATTAACATATTGGAAGAGTCATTTGTATTTAAATGTTTATTATATATGTTTAATTTATAAATTCAATACTATCCCAATTCAAAATCCCACCATTATTCAGTAGAAATTGAATGCCAATTCTGTTATTTGTATGGAATTCTAAACAGAGAATTCTCCATCAGTCTGTGTTTTCAGTGACAGTCATGATTTCCTTGGAAAAGACAGAATGAAGGTGTCACATTCCCAGGGAAACATTGTAAGTCACAACAAACACCAACCTGAACTGAAAGACTGACTGCATAAAACTTTGCTTGTTTAATTTTGATTTCTGTTGTAGGGGTTTTTTAAAAAATAAATTTGGTTGTGTATATTTAAGGTATGTAAAATGATGTTATAGAATACATATAGATAGTAAAATGGTTACAAATTGCTATATTCATCATCTCACATAGTTACCTTTGTGTGTGTGACAAGAGCAGCTATAACCCACTTATTATAAAAAAAAATTGATCTTTGGGCCTACTCAACATCTATGACCAGGGATTGGGCCATTAAACATGCCCATCCAATAGAGTATAAGATTTATAAAGAATATGTTGGATTTATATAAAGAACTTATTCAAAAGGAAGGATTTCAAAGAAGGAGCCAGGTGCCATGGAGCTTATTAAATAAAGGACAAACACTGAGAGATAAGAATCAGGTCTTAATTTAAAAAAAGTTTTTTCTAGCTCCGGGTTGAAGGTCTTTAAAGACTTCTGTACAATGGAATTGCAAGATTTTGATGATCAGTAACTGCTCCAGTACCCCTCCCTCTCTCAAAAGGAAGTTTACTGCCATTGTCTTATGCTTTCTGTATAACTGTATATTGGCTATATGGTAAGTAGATAACATGATTGTTTTTGTTTTTGTTTCATAAACCTTTGCATTAAAAAAATCAGATTTATTTTTTATAGAGACTCTAATATCTTCCTTAGAAATATACAACTTTCAACTGAATGCCATGTCTAAATTAGACTTTCAGATTTTCTCACTTATGAAGATGCTTAGTGTATTTGTCATTCAGAAAGGAGAATGAGACATTTAATTATAAGAGATTCAAAGAGTGATCTGGACACAAATATTCCAATTTTTTTCTTCAGGGCATGTGGGTACGATTGCACTCTCTTCTGCTAGTCATTGAATTTAGGCATGGTCTTGTGACTTGGTTTGGGTAATGAAATGTCAAGATAGGCTTTAAAAGCTAATTTTCTACTTGCCATTTTCTATCTTACTAATGAGATAATACTTCCATCATTCTAGTATTTCTAAGTAATTACAATGGACAGAGCCCCCTCTCTGACCTATGTTGTACATGTAGTGTAAACAAGAAATAGGCTTGTTACTGTATGCTGAGTCATCCAGATTATCAGGTTTTTATTACTGTAAAATAACTTATCCATCTTGGTACTGAATTTGTTAAAGATAAAATTAATAATAAATATTAAAAATGCTAAGTAATAAATGTTAAAGATCAAATAAACAATAATTATATTAAATAATCCTTGTTCTAGGGAAAATAATTTCCTATATTAAGCCACAAACACATAAACCATAAAGGAAATAAAATATTTAACTACATTATAATTTAAAAACTTAACTGCAGACAAATGGACAGGTAACAGGCAACTTACAGTTTAAGGGAATATATTTACATCTTAAATCAATAAGGAACTAATATCTGGAATGTAAAGATAGGCAACTCAATAGAAAATTAGTCAAATCATACAGACTGGCAATTCACAGAACAGGAAACTCATTACATGAGTTATTAAATGTTCTTTAAACTCATCAGTAACTAGAAAAATGAAAATCACAGCAACAAAAAGATATAATTTTTTACTCACTTGATTAGTTGCTTAAGAATGAGAAATAATTATTTTGTTCATGTTTAGTTACAGAAATGTCGCTTAGAATAGGTCTAGATAAATAACAGTGACGTGTCAAATTTTGCTAGTGATGCGATGATTCAGTTTGGTGCAATCAGTCTGAAGACAAATCTGTGAATACTTAATCAAATTAAATATAGTACAATCACTCCAAATTCTTACATCAAAGAAAGTCATACATGTCTCCCTAAGGGAGTGTGTTTGAGGCTGTTCATCATAGCACTGTTGTGTTATAAGGAATAAAAGGCAATCTAGAAATACATTAGAAATCTGTCTTGAAAGATCAATGCATTTTATTTTTCTTGCTATTGTTTTCTATTTTTAATCACTGTGACAAAAAAAAAATCTTTAGCCTGTAAACATTCTTGGTAGCCTGCCCTAGTAATTTGTCATTTCCCTCCCCAAAATTATTTGTATTTAATTTAATATATGCTTCTGTAATTAAAAGCATTTTATCCTGTGTTAACATATGTGAGTATAAGAGGCAGGAATCAGATAAATACATTAAAATAGTGTTTTGAGAATTTAAATAGATTAAGAAAACAATGACTTTTCTTTTTTTCTCTGTGCATATTTAATTTCTATTATTATTATATGTTATTTGTGGTCTTATATTTGCAAATCTTTTTAAATTTTTTTCTTATCTGTTCTCCACAGAGAACATACATTTGTTTTATTTCTTCTTTCTCCACAACTCTTGGTTCATCTCCTCATTTTCATCTCCCCCACCTAGTTTCTCGTTGTATTCTTGAAAGTTGCAACTTGCTTAGGGTGATTAAAATCTCTCACAATTCAGACAAAGATATTCAAATTACTGAAAAGCAAAAGCACACCAGGTAGACAATAGGAGCCTTTTGAATACTAGTTAAGAGGACCTTTCCTGCCAAGATAGAAGAAATAAAAACAATTTATTTATAAAACCTTTCCAATGCATCACATTCACTGATTCTTAGTAAATAGATTTTTCACAATAACTAAATTATGAACTTGAATTAGATTGCTAAGCTCTATTTATGAAATGTTTACATCAAAAAGAAATTGTGCAATTCAAAGTATAGCACGAGAAACAGAGGAGAAAGAGAAAGAGAGAAGAAAGACCTTACAAACGTCTAGTTAATATACATACATACATACATACATATATATATATATATATATATATATATATATATTTTAAACTAAACTATGGAAAGCACCTAACACCTGTTGAAATATAGCATAATTTTAATGTAGCTGGGAAGGAGGGTAAATTATTTGTCAAAAATTTCATAACACTAACTAATCAAGTTAGCTTTTTTAAACTCTGTATACAGTGAACGACCCCCCTCTAGAAGTGATACTTTAAATGAACCTTGAGGTGTATAGAATAAATAAGGGAAGGGCACATTTCAGGCAGATGGAAAATGTGTGTCTGAAAGTAGAGGTCATCAAATACTGCTGTAATTTAAGATGTGAGAGAAAACAATGAGGTAAAGATTGGGAAGGTAAGAGAACCAAATCATAAGGAATTTTTTATTCCACTTCTAGAAGTTTAAGATTTATTTTGTAGTTAAAATAAACTGCTGAATGATTTTAAGCATGGAAATAAAATAACTCAATTTACAATTTAGTGAGATACCAAGTTTGCAGTTAGGAAGATCATTTGGTAAAGCACCCCTGGCCATGTGAACTTACATAACAATGCTAGATACTGTTATATTAGATACTAATATCCAAGATTTTATGAGATCAAAAACTGCAGAAGTGGAATAATAATTATATTAAGTTGAATATATCAAAATTAATGACAGATCTGAAAAAAGAGATAAGAAGTACAAGAGTGTCTAAGTTGCTTATTTAATTTCTAGATTGGGCAAGTGGACAGTTTATGGCATCATAAATTAACATAAGAAATAATGAAAATAAGTATGTTTCATTTTTGGTAAGTTTAGTTTCACATATTTATGGGAAAGCTAAGAGAAAATGTGCAGTATTTAGTTATATATTTGTCTGTAACTCAAGAAAGTGACCCGGGCTGGAGCTATAAATTTAGGACCCTTCAGAGTAAAACTAGTAAACCAGAGACTAAATGAAATAATCAAGGGAGTCAATTTAGAATGAGCAGAGAGAAACAGACAGACAGACAGAACCAAATACAGAGACAGAGAGAGACAGGGACAGAGAAAAGGACATAGAGACAGAAAGAGAGAGAAAGAAACGGAAAGAAGAGAAAAATCAGATATGAAGATTGAGAAGAAATTTTCATATGCAAATGAGAAAAACTATACAAAACATATTTTGTATAAGCCAAATAGGTGAAAGTTTCAAAAAGAAGCTTGTGAAAATAAGTTTCAAATGTGCATAGAGCAAGTGAAACATAGGATTAAAATAATTCACTACATTAGGTCAAATTTCAGTAGTGAAAGATGTCAGAATATAGTAGCATGGATTAGAAATTATATAGTAACGTAATTGTTCATAAGAATCAGATATTTATTTGGTAAGGGCAATTTACCTTCACTGGGTACATAAATCAATCTAAATGTATTTTTCATTCTCTTTAGCAGGAATTGCCTAAATGGCATCTCAGTTAGTTTATACAGTTTCAGGATCAGAAGGTCTCTGATCCTGGAGGTGATTAAGAACAATAAACCACCAAGAAGAACTAAATTAAAAATAAGTAAGTTGGTTCAAAATACATCACATAAAACAAACTTCATACTACTATTTTTATGGAAAAGATAACTAATAACACTCAAACCTATTGTAACATTCCAGCCTTTCTTCTTTATCTACTCTTTAATTACAGACACACAAAAATATATCCTAAAAAAGGGGAAGATAACCACATATGCAGGCCCTAACATTAAAAACGTATTATATGACTTACGATAATTTATTGTTTTATATGTCAACATTTTTTACATCTTTTAGAGATGTTTCATATATATGACCTCATTTGCTCCTAATGACAACTAAATAATTGAAACATTGCCTTATTCTTAAGTTTTAGGTGAGGCATTTAAAGTTTCTTCCATGGCTCCCAGGGAATTGATTAAGATCATTATTCTAGAGTTCAAGCCTGAAGATTACAAAAGAACAATAAGGCCACAGACATGACTAATATTGCCTCTCAATTTACTCAAGTTTAAGAGAAAAAGGAAAGTAAGCAAAAGCTGTATTAGCGTTTAGCTTACTATGAGTTTTCACAGCACATGCTCCTATTAGTTTAATGACTTTTAAAAATGGGCATTTAAAGCAGGACAAAAATTAATATGCAGCAAAGTAGACTATGTGGGAGTTATTTATGGGGGTGGGCATGGATGATGAATCAAGCTCACCACATTCAAAATTGCTGCTGAGCCTTCGCAATACTCTATGCAATTAGTTTATTGGTGGCTTTTGCGAAAGCTGTGTGCATTTCTGCTCATACCCTCCAAGATATGATTTAATATTAAAATATATTTTTCTTAAATATTTTTACCTTATAAGAAAGGAAATGGTCATAAGAATTTGAGTAAGTCTTGAGTTATGCCTCATGCATCTTCAAATACATTCTATCCTATTAATTTTATAATGATGTAGTTGAAAGAAGCCTGGAATTATACTTAGGTTTTCCATTCTGGATGCCATTTATACCTCTTCCTTATTACATAATGTTAAGGAAAACACTTGACTATCTCTGAGCTAGGTCATTTTTATCCTTAATCTAGAGAGCATAATTGCTGTCCTGACTACTTCACTGGTGATAGCAACAAGAGACAGCCTAATGCCTAGGCAGATAGGTGCAGGTCCCCAGTGAAACCCCACCTCCAAGCCAAACACCGTTTATAGCCTGAAAACTAAGCTACAAGTTAAATCCTCGGACTGGATTGATAACTTGTCTTTCTGTTTGGCATACTCTCTTCTGATTGACCTTCCCACTCCAGTATTAGTCTGTTCTCATGCTGCTAATAAAGACATACCCAAGACTGGGTAATTTATAAAGAAAAAGAGTTTTAATGAACTCACAGTTCCACATGGCTGAGGAGGCCTCACAGTCATGGTGGAAGGTGAAAGAGGAACAAAGGCATGTCTTACATTTGGGCAGGCAAGACAACACGTGTAGGGGAACTGTTCTTTATAAAACTATCAGATCTTGTGGTATTTATTCACTATCACGAGAACCACATGGGAAAAACCCACACCCATGATTCAATTACCTCCCACCAGGTCCCTCTCATGATGCATGGAGCTTATGAAATCTACAATTCAAGTTGAGATTTGCATGGGGACACAGCCAAAGCATATCATTCCACCCCTGCCGCCTCCCAAATTTCATGTCCTCACATTGCAAAACACAATCATGCCTTCCCAACAGTTCCCCAAAGTCTTAACTCATTCTGGCATTAAACCAAAAATACAAATTTAGAGTCTCATCCAAGACAAGGCAAGTCCCTTGCACCTACAAGCTTGTAAAACCAAAAGTAAGTTAGTTACTTCCTAGATACAATGGAGATACAGGCATTAGGTAAATACATCCCTTCCAACTGGAAGAAATTGGCCAAAACAAAGGGGCTACAGGCCCCACGCAATTCTGAAATCCAAAAAGGCAGTCATTGAACCTTAAAGTTTTGAGATGATATCCTTTGAATCCATGTCTCACATCCAGGTCACACTGATGCAAGAGGTAGGCTCCCAAGGCCTTGGGCACCTCAGCCCCTGTGGTTTTGCAGGGTACAGGCCCCCTCCTGGCTGCTTTCACAGGCTAGTGTTGAGTGTCTGCAACTTTTCCCAGCACATGATGCAAGCTGTCAATGGATCTGTCATTCTGGGGTCTGGAGGATGATTGCCCTCTTCTCACAGCTCTACTAGGCTGTGCCCAGTGGGGACTCTGTGTGGGGGCTCTAACTCCACGTTTCCTTTCTGCACTGGCCTAGCAGAGGTTCTTCATGAGGACTCTGCCCCTGAAACACACCACTGCCTAGACATCCAGAAGTTTCTATACATCCTCTGAAATCTAGGCGGAGGTTCCCAAACTTCAATTCTTGACTTTCATGTACCTGCAGGCTCAACACAATGTGGAAGCTGCCAAGGCTTGGGGCTTGCATCCTCTGAAGCCATGGCCAGAGCTCTGTGTTGCCCCTTTTTAGCCATGAATGGAGCAGCTAGGATGCAGGGCACCAAGTCCCTAGGCTGCACAAAGCTGGGGGGCCTTTGGTCCTGCCTTTGAAACCACTTTTTCCTACTTGGCCTCTGGGTCTGTGATGGGACGGGCTACCCCAAAGGTCTCTGACATGCCCTGGACATATTTTCCCTATTGTCTTGATGAATAACATTCTACTCCTTGTTATGCAAATTTCTGCAGCAAGCTTGGCTTGAATTTTTCCTGAGAAAATGGGTTTTTCTTTTCTAGTGCATCATCAGCCTGCAAATTTTCCAAACTTGTATGCTTTTCTTCCTCTTGAACTCTTTGTTGCTTAGAACTTTCTTCTGCTAGATACCCTAAATTATCTCTCTCAAGTTCAAATTTCCAAAGATCTCTAGGGCAGAGGCAAAATGCTGCCAGTGTCTTTGATAAAGCATAACAAGAATCACCTTTGCTCCAGTTCCAAAAAAAATTCTCATCTCCATCTGAGACCACCTCAGCTTGGTATACAGTTTGTATGATTCTTATAGTTCTGACCTTGTATGACTATGAAACTTAAAGGAAATAATATAAATAATGTTTTTAGAAGAGTGACTAGAAAACAGTAAACATTATTAAAATGTTTTATTATTATTGTGATGATGAGAAAGAGGGAGACAATGATGATGGGGCACAAACAAGCACACAATATTGACGAATTTACAATCATTTCTTTCCACAGATTTACAACTTGTAGAGGCATATCAGTTCAAAATTATAATACTGAATTTTATTTTGAAACATGATAATTCTGAAATTTAACTCATATAACCTACAAATAAAGGTAATCTTCCTCAAATTATTTGCATGCTAAATTAAAATATAGTCATGCTGAGCCTCTTTCAGTTGTTTTGTTTTGACAGGGTGGTCTTTCTCTCCAAGACTTTAACTCCTTATGAGACAATGGGATTCCTGTGCAAAGGTCTAGGATCGGCTTCAAACCAAACTGGTGCAGAAATCTCATCTATAAAACAAACACAGTGAATGAAATGTTTTCTATCATTGATTACAGAAATGAATATTAATGCTCTAGCGATTCTTCAATCTATAATTCTGCAATTAGGAACATACATTTTTGACTAAAGATGTTCAAATGAGGCAACAAGTGTCTAAGAATTAAAACTTTAACACTTGACCTACTGAACAATGGATATATTTTTTACTTTTTTATTATACTTTAAATTCTAGGGTACATGTGCACAACATGCAGGTTTGTTACATATGTATACATGTGCCATGTTGGTGTGCTGCACACATTAACTCGTCATTTACATTAGGTATATCTCCTAATGCTATCCCTCCCACCTCCCCCCACCCCACAACAGGCCCCAGTGTGTGATGTCCCCCTTCCTGTGTCCAAGTGTTCTCATTGTTCAATTCCCACCTATGAGTGAGAACATGCGATGTTTGGTTTTTTGTCCTTGCGATAGTTTGCTGAGAATGATGGTTTCCAACTTCATCCATGTCCCTATGAAGGACGTGAACTCATCCTTTTTTATGGTTGCATAGTATTCCATGGCTGCATAGTATTCCATGGTGTATATGTGCCACATTTTCTTAATCCACTCTATCCTTGTTGGACATTTAGGTTGGTTCCAGGTCTTTGCTATTGTGAATAGTGCCACAATAAACATACGTGTGCGTGTGTCTTTATAGCAGCATGATTTATAATCCTTTGGATATATACCCAGTAATGGGATGGCTGGGTCAAATGGTATTTCTAGTTCTAGATCCCTGAGGAATTGCCACACTGTATTCCACAATGGTTAAACCAGTTTACAGTCCCACCAACAGTGTAAAAGTGCTCCTATTTCTCCACATCCTCTCCAGCACCTGTTGTTTCCTGACTTTTTAATGATGGCCATTCTAACTGGTGTGAGATGGTATCTCATTGTGGTTTTGATTTGCAAAGAAGACATTTATGCAGCCAACAGACATCTGAAAAAATGCTCATCATCACTGGCTATCAGAGAAACAATGGATATATTTTTTAAACTACTCATAGATCAAAACAGAAAAAAAAGAGAAGCTCAATTAGGCTAATTATTTGGGACTGCAGAGAATTCTAGTTTATTCATTATGAGTGGGTTGACCTGATATTCTGGTTTGCTGGGATATTCTTACATTATTCCTGCTGTCTTGGCATATTTATTATTAGTGACTCTTTCACCCTCAAAAGTGTTTTAGTTTGCAGGTAAAATATACAGACATCTAATTTATCATTTGAATGCAACTGTTAAATAAATACAAATTAAGTCAAACCAAGTATATTTTTCCTGATGTGGTACATTTTTGGAGTAAATGTGGATTTTAGTAAAACCATATCTAGCAACAGGTGGTTTATTTTATAAAATGAAAGTGAGTAAAATTTTGAGGATAATGAAGCTATAAGATAAAAACTGAATAGTGAAAGTCCTTGCTAATTGTTGTAATTAGATACTGGCAGGGAAATCATAATTTAGCAAAACTGTATCTCAGGGTAGTAATATGGATCTTTAAATATTAGTTTAATCTTGGCTCCTGTTTCAGACTTTAGATTGCATTTCTTACTCTCATAGCTTGGCAAAATTAACTAACCCCTTGACTTCAATTTTGTAACCTATAAAGCATACAATAGCAAAAGCCATCTCAAGGGATTGTTGTGAAGATGAAACGGCACAATGCAAGTATTTAGCAGACTGACTGATATAAGTGCTCAGAAATTATGAGCCATTGTTGCTACTAATTCTGTGATGATAAATATTACTTTGCAAGATACTAGTTTCACTACAACCATTATTATTTATGATAAATATAGGATAACCAAAGGAGGTACCACATAAAAACATTATTTAAAATCGAAATGATATCCATTTCTTTTTAAATAATTTTTCTGGAAGAAGTTAGTAACAGGTTTTGTAAAAAATAAATTCAAAAAATTAAAATCTAGGAATTATCTCTACATACAAATTCCAAGAGACTAGCCGTTTGTGAAGAACCATTTATTGAATGTTTATATATATTAAAATGAAAATAAGCTATGAAAATATTTATCACACAGCATTCCAGAAGAGAGAAATACTGTGTACATTATGGTGGTATAAAGTTGTACAAGGGCTGGGTGTGGTGGCTCATGCCTGTAATTTCAACATTTTGGGAGGCACAGGTGGTAGGATTGCTTCTAGCCAGAAGTTCGAGACAAGCCTGGGCAATAAAGCGAGACCCTGTCTCTTGTCTCTACAAAAGTGTTTTATAAAAATTAGCTAGGTGGGGTGGCATGCATCTGTAGGCCCAACTACTCAGGAGGCTGAGACAGGAGGAGAGCTTGAGCCCAGGAACTGGAGGCTGCAGTAAGCAATGATTCTGCCACTCCACTACAGCCTGCATAACAGAGTGAGACCCTGTCTCATTAAAAAATAAATAAAGAAGATGGCTGAATAGGAACAGCTCCAGTCTAGAGCTCCCAGCATGAGCGACGCAGAAGACAGGTGATTTCTGCATTTCCAACTGAGGTACCAGGCTCATCTCACTGGGGAGTGTCGGAAAGTGGGTGCAGGACAGTGGGTGCAGTGCACCCAGTGTGAGCTGAAGCAGGGCTAGGCATTGCCTCACCCAGGAAGCGCAAGGGGTCAGGGAATTCCCTTTCCTAGTCAAAGAAAGGGGTGACAGATGGCACCTGGAAAATTGGGTCACTCCCACCCTAATACTGTGCTTTTCCAAAGGTCTTAGCAAAGGGCACACCAGGAGATTATATCCCGTGCATGACTCAGAGGGTCCTACTCCCATGGAGCCTCGCTCATTGCTAACACAGCAGTCTGAGATCAAACTGCAAGGTGGCAGTGAGGCTGGGGTAGGGGTGCCCACCATTGCCAAGGCTTGAGTAGGTAAACAAAGTGGGCGGGAAGCTCAAACCGGGTGAAGCCCACTGCAGCTCAAGGAGGCCTGCCTGCCTCTGTAGACTCCACCTCTGGGGGCAGGGCATAGCCAAACAAAAGGCAGCAGAAACTTCTACAGACTTAAATGTCCCTGTCTGACAGCTTTGAAGAGAATAATGGTTCTCCCAGCATGCAGCTGGAGATCTAAGAACGGACAGACTGCCTCCTCAAGTGGGTCCCTGACCCCTGAGTAGCCTAACTGGGAGGCACCCCCCAGTAGGGGCAGACTGACACCTCACATGGCTGGGTACTCCTCTGAGACAAAACTTCCAGAGGAATGATCAAGCAGCAACATTTGCTGCTCACCAGTATCCACTGTTCTGCAGCCTCTGCTGCTGATACCCAGGCAAACAGCGTCTGGACTGGACCTCCAGCAAACTCCAACAGACTTGCAGCTGAGGGTCCTGTCTGTTAGAAGGAAAACTAACAAACAGAAAGGACATCCACACCAAAACCCCATCTGTACGTCACCATCATCAAAGACCAAAGGCAGATAAAACCACAAAGATGGGGAAAAAACAGAGCAGAAAAACTGGAAACTCTAAAAATCAGAGCGCCTCTCCTCCTCCAAAGGAACACAGCTCCTCACCAGCAACAGAACAAAGCTGGATGGAGAATGACTTTGATGAATTGAGAGAAGAAGGCTTCAGATGATCAAACTACTCCGAGCTAAAGGAGGAAGTTTGAACCCATGGCAAAGAAGTTAAAAACCTTGAAAAAAAATTAGACGAGTGGCTAACTAGAGTAACCAATGCAGAGAAGTCCTTAAAGGACCTGATGGAGCTGAAAACCAAAGCACGAAAACTACGTGATGAATACACAAGCCTCAGTAGCCAATTCGATCAACTGGAAGAAAGGGTATCAGTGATGGAAGATCAAATGAATGAAATGAAGTGAGAAGTGTAGAGAAAAAAGAATAAAAAGAAATGAACAAAGCCTCCAAGAAATATGGGACTATGTGAAAAGACCAAATCTACATCTGATTGGTGTACCTGAAAGTGACGGGAAGAATGGAACCAAGTTGGAAAACACTCTGCAGGATATTATCCAGGAGAACTTCCCCAATCTAGCAAGGCAGACCAACGTTCAAATTCAGGAAATACAGAGAATGCCACAAAGATATTCCTCGAGGAGAGCAACTCCAAGACACATAATTGTCAGATTCATGAAAGTTGAAATGAAGGAAAAAATGTTAAGGGCAGCCAGAGAGAAAGGTCGGGTTACCCACAAAGGGAAGCCCATCAGACTAACAGCTGATCTCTTGGCAGAAACCCTACAAGCCATAAGAGAGTGGGGGCCAATATTCAACATGCTTAAAGAAAAGAATTTTCAACCCAGAATTTCATATCCAGCCAAGCTAAGCTTCATAAGTGAAGGAGAAATAAAATCCTTTACAGACAAGCAAATGCTGAGAGATTTTGTCACCACCAGGCCTGCCCTAAAAGAGCTCCTGAAGGAAGAACTAAACATGGAAAGGAAAAACTGCTACCAGCCACTGCAAAAACATGCCAAATTGTAAAGACCATCAAGGCTAGGAAGAAACTGCATCAACTAACGAGCAAAATAACCAGCTAACATCATAATGACAGGATCAAATTCACACATAACAATATTAACCTTAAATGTAAATGGGCTAAATGCTCCAATTAAAAGACACAGACTGGCAAATTGGATAAAGAGTCAAGACCCATCAGTGTGCTATATTCAGAAAACCCATCTCACGTGCAGTGACACACATAGGCTCAAAATAAAGGGATGGAGGAAGATCTACCAAGCAAATGGAAAACAGAAAAAGGCAGGGGTTGCAATCCTAGTCTCTGATAAAACAGACCTTAAACCAACAAAGGACAAAGGAGACAAAGAAGGCCATTACATAATGGTAAACGGATCAATTCAACAAGAAGAGCTAACTATCCTAAATATATATGCACCCAATACAGGATCACCCAGATTCATAAAGCAAGTCCTTAGAGACTAGAAAGAGACTTAGACTCCCACACAATAATAATGGGAGACTTTAACACCCCATTGTCAACATTAGACAGATCCACAAGACAGAAAGTTAACAAGGATATCCAGGAATTAAACTCAGCTCTGCACCAAGTGGACCTAATAGACATCTACAGAACTCTCCACCACAAATCAACAGAATATACATTCTTCTCAGCACCACACCACACTTATTCCAAAATTGACCACATAGTTGGAAGTAAAGCACTCCTCAACAAATGTAAAAGAACAGAAATTATAACAAACTGTCTCTCAGACCACAGTGCAATCAAACTAGAACTCAGGATTAAGAAACTCACTCAAAACCACTCAACTACATGGAAACTGAACAACCTGCTCCTGAATGACTACTGGGTACATAATGAAATGAAGGCAGAAATAAAGATGTTCTTTGAAACCAATGAGAACAAAGACACAACATACCAGGATCTCTGGGACACATTCAAAGCAGTGTGTAGAGGGACTTTTATAGCACTAAATGCTCACAAGAGAAAGCAGGAAAGATCTAAAATTGACACCCTAACATCACAATTAAAACAACTAGAGAAGCAAGAGCAAACACATTCAAAAGCTAGCAGCAGACAAGAAATAACTAAGATCAGAGCAGAACTGAAGGAAATAGAGACACAAAAAACCCTTAAAAAAATTAATGAATCCAGGAGCTGGTTGTTTGAAAAGATCAACAAAATTGATAGACCACTAGCAAGACTAGTAAAAAAGAAAAGAGAGAAGAATCAAATAGAAGTAATAAAAAAATGATAAAGGGGATATCACCACCGATCCCACAGAAATACAAACTACCATCAGAGAATACTATAAACACCTCTATGCAAATAAACTAGAAAATCTAGAAGAAATGGATAAATTCATCGACACATACATTCTCCCAAGACTAAACGAGGAAGAAGTTGAATCTCTGAATAGACCAATAACAGGCTCCGAAATTGAGGCAATAATTAATAGCTTACCAACCAAAAAAAGTCCAGGACCAGACAGACTCACAGCCGAATTCTACCAGAGGTAGAAGGAAGAGCTGGTACCATTCCTTCTGAAACTACTCCCATCAATAGAAAAAGAGGGAATCCTCCCTAACTCATCTTATGAGGCCAGCATCATCCTGATACCAAAGCCTGGCAGAGACACAACAAAAAAAGAGAATTTTAGTCCAATATCCCTGATGAACACCAGTGCAAAAATCCTCAATAAAATACTGGCAAAACAAATCCAGCAATACATCAAAAAGCTTATCCACCATGATCAAGTGGGCTTCATCCCTGGGATGCAAGGCTGGTTCAACATACACAAATCAGTAAACTTACTCCAGCATATAAACAGAACCAATGACAAAAGCCACATGATTATCTCAATAGATGCAGAAAAGGCCTTTGACAAAATTCAACAGCCCTTCATGCTAAAAACTCTCAGTAAATTAGGTATTCATGGGAAGTATCTCAAAATAATAAGAGCTATCTATGAAAAACCCACAGCCAATATCATACTGAATGGGCAAAAACTGGAAGCATTCCCTTTGGAAACTGGCACAAGACAGGGATGCCCTCTCTCACCACTCCTATTCAACATAGTGTTGGAAGTTCTGGCCAGGGCAATCAGGCAGGAGAAGGAAATAAAGGGTATTCAATTAGGAAAAGAGGAAGTCAAATTGTCCCTGTTTGCAGATGACATGATTGTATATCTAGAAAACACCATTGTCTCAGCCCAAAATCTCCTTAAGCTGATAGGCAACTTCAGCAAAGTCTCAGGATACAAAATCAATGTGCAAAAATCACAAGCATTCTTACACACCAATAACAGACAAACAGAGAGCCAAATCATGAGTGAACTCCCATCACAATTGCTTCAAAGAGAATAAAATACCTAGGAATCCAACTTACAAGGGATTTAAAGGATTTCTTCAAGGAGAACTACAAACCACTGCTCAATGAAATAAAAGAGGATACAAATAAATGGAACAATATTCCATGCTCATGGGTAGGAAGAATCAATATCATGAAAATGGCCATATTGCCCAAGGTAACTTATAGATTCAATGCCATCCCCATCAAGCTACCAATGACTTTCTTCACAGAATTGGAAAAAACTACTTTAAAGTTCATATGGAATCAAAAAAGAGCCTGCATTACCAAGTCAATCCTAAGCCAAAAGAACAAAGCTGGAGGCATCATGCTACCTGACTTCAAACTATACTACAAGGCTACAGTAACCAAAACAGCATGGTACTTGTACCAAAACAGAGATATAGATCATTGGAACAGAACAGAGCCCTCAGAAATAATGCCCCATATCTACAGCTATCTGATCTTTGACAAACCTGACAAAAACAAGAAATGGGGAAAGGATTCCCTATTTAATAAATGGTGCTGGGAAAACTGGCTAGCCATATGTAGAAAGCTGAAATTGGATCCCTTCATTATGCCTTATACAAAAATTAATTCAAGATGGATTAAAGACTTAAATGTTAGACCTGAAACCATAAAAACCCTAGACGAAAACCTAGGCAGTACCATTCAGGACATAGGCATGGGCAAGGACTTTATGTCTAAAACACCAAAGGCAATGGCAACAAAAGCCACAATTGACAGATGGGATCTAATTAAACTAAAGAGCTTCTGCACAGCAAAAGAAACTACCATCAGCGTGAACAGGCAACCTACAGAATGGGAGAAAATTTTTGCAATCTACTCATCTGACAAAGGGCTAATATCCAGAATCTACAATGAACTCAAACAAATTTTCAAGAAAAAAACCAAACAACCCCATCAATAAGTGGGCAAAGGATATGAACAGACACTTCTCAAAAGAAAACATTTATGCAACTAAAAGACACATGAAAAAATGCTCATCATCACTGGCCATCAGAGAAATGCAAGTCAAAACCACAATGAGCTACCATCTTACACCAGTTAGAATGGTGATCATTAAATTGTCAGGAAACAAGAGGTGCTGGAGAGGATGAGGAGAAATAGGAACACTTTTACACTGTTGGTGGGACTGTAAACTAGTTCAACCATTGTGGAAGTCAGTATGGTGATTCCTCAGGGATCTAGAACTAGAAATACCATTTGACCCAGCCATCCCATTACTGGGTATATACCCAAAGGATTATAAATCATGCTGCTATAAAGACACATGCACACATATGTTTATTGTGGCACTATTCACAATAGCAAAGATTTGGAACCAAGCCAAATGTCCAACAAGGATAGACTGGATTAAGAAAATGTGGCACATATACACCATGGAATACTATGCAGCCATAAAAAATGATGGATTCACATCCTTTGTAGGGACATGGATAAAGCTGGAAACCATCATTCTCAGCAAACTATCACAAGGACAAAAAAACCAAGCACCGCATGTTCTCACTCATAGGTGGGAATTGAACAATGAGAACACATGGACACAGGAAGGGGAACATCACACACCAGGGCCTGCTGGGGGTGGGGGTGGGGGAGGGATAACATTAGGAGATATACCTAATGTTAAATGACGAGTTAATGGGTGCAGCACACCAAGATGGCACATGTATACATATGTAACAAACCTGCACGTTGTGCACATGTACCCTAAAACTTAAAGTATAAAAATAAATAAATAAAAATGAAATAAAATATAAAACTTAACCATCTCGGCCTGTGTGTATGTAGGACTTTCAAAGTGATTTATTGAAAATTTTTTAAAATTAAAAAAAATATTGCCGCCACCATAACAACTTCAAAGTTCTATAGTGTCCCAGTGGCATGTGCTTCCACAGTTCACAGAACATTTCCACAGACATTTCTTTGGAGACTCACAAAAATACTGTGATTTAGACAAGTCAGTTGTTCAATCTCTAGGCTAACATTCTTTCCCATATTCCTATACCTTCTTTAAAAAGATAATGTGTCATTTTTGCATTACTCCAACTTCATAAAAATAATCACATAGAGACTACCTTTTTAAGCCTAAATAGTGGCTTAATTATAATGTTGTAGGCAAACGACTGAAGATTTCCTTTGTCTGCAGAAAAGCAGTACTGGCTCTACTGAATATTTATAGAGTAAAACTCAGTTTCAACATCTGTAGAAGCTGAATTAAAAAATTACCTCTCAGGACTGTCATAAAAATTCAATAATATGCTTACAATTTTTCACATAAACTGCACAAATTAAATGCTTCTATATACTTATGTTGTTTTCTCTTCTATAAAATACCAAAAGATTTCAGGTGTTCACTAAGAATCACTTCATGATCAATAATTTTAAGTTAATATTCTGCAAAGCATTGTTAGGAGAGGTTACTGAGTTTTCATTGCAATTAAAAATCTGACGATACTACCTTCCATATTGCTAATACTAGTTAGTAATAGCAGATGTAGTATTTTCATGAGAAATAACAATATTAATGATAAATAAAATAAAATTTGTATGTAGAGATAATTCTTAGATTTTAAAATTTTAGATTTTATAAAATACTTATTTTTTTCTGATAGTAATCATTTTTATTTTCACAATAATCTGATGAGGTAAGCACTACTATTATCCTATTTTAATGTTGAAGAAGCTAAGGGACAAGATTTATCCAATATTAAACTTCTGCTTAGTAGGGAGCTTAGATTTGAACCCAGTAATTTAACCCCCAAGACGTGTGCTCTTCACAATTATTCTATTGATAATTTATGAAAGATCTATAATAGAGTTACACTGGTGTGTTTAGAAAAATTGACTGTAATTTTATTGTTTAACTATACAGATTATATAAATTACCCATTTAATCATTTTTCAGTAAAGCATAATGAGAATTAAATAAATACATTAACTGACATAAATCTGAGGTCCTTTTGTGTTAATGTGTTTCCCATTTTCACTGTAAAATGTAAGGATCTTATTTCTTAAAGGATAAATATGTTAACCCTGATAAATAATTTGGAATTATTAATAAAGTGCCTTTTGAGTGCCTTAATTATATAAAGAGCATTTGTTGTTTGTGAACATTCTACTTTATTTTATCATTTAATATAATTCAGAATATATGAATAAACTAAAAATTTTGAGACATTTTGCAATTTTGTAGAGGACATTAAAATTGAAATTATCAACAAAATAATTCAAAATTTGTGAAGTATTATGCTTTCCAAATTCTTCATTTTCTATAACAGAACTGTTTTCTATGTGTTTCAGGATACACAGACTCAGTATTTCTTTAGATCAATTTTTCTTTGATTAGATCACTAAAAGAGAAATTCAACTGACCTTAAGGCATTGCTCTCCCTAGTCATTCTTGGACTGTTTGCAGCTGGCAGCAGAAAGTAATAATATATTTTAAATTATTAAACTAAAGGTTCATTTTTAACATTAATGAGAAATTCAAAGACAGATTTTACTCCAAGAATCATTGTGAGAAAAAATGTGATGTTATTTTTGTCTGCACTATATTTTCATATTAAAATAAATATAACATTAACATTAATAAATATGGCATTATAGACACTTAAAAGTTTGTTTGTAACCTTGACAATTTTGCACATTTTTATTACAAAAATATACCTTTTGGGGAAAGTAGAATAAAGAAGCAAACAAATATTTTAAAATATTCTAACCAAAGTGGTTATTATCTCATAATACATACCAAAATAATAAAATTTAGTGTTTTTTCTTCTTTCCATTTGCATTATCTAATATTTTCCAAAATATTATATTTTTATATTAAGGAATGCCAACATTTGCGTCTTGATTTCTCGACATATGTTTGTTATAAAATTAAAGTTTTCTTCAACTTGCATTTTTACTCAACTAATATTGTAATTTATTTTATATCATTAAATATTCTTAAAAAGATAAATTTATAGATCATCTTAATAATTTATTTTTTCTAAAATTTGAGGTTCAATTTCATAAATATCTCTCTGGATGTTTCAACTGATTTCCACTCCCAGTCATAGTTTGTAAGGAGTGTTTTCTTCACCCTAACTAATAATTTCCTCTATTATTAATTTAAGACTTTCAATTATGAGGAAAAAATAATGACTCTGCCCCACTTCTTCATACTCTTTTTTGAATTATCATATGAAGTACAAATCACACGATAATTGGAGATGAATAGAAAGCATTCTTTAAATGAATATTTATAAAGCACTAATTTGACGGTATATGTTCCATTCATTAATATTTTTAATAAATATTTTAACTATTATTTTAATATCAAGGATAAAATAAAACAAAATGCATATATGTATTTATATGTAATTGTACATGTCTATAGAATATAGTCTGTAATGTTAATCTTATTTGCATTTGATATAAACTCTTTTAATTTCATTAAAGTTATAGATTTTTTGTGAGTAGCTCTTTTATTGGGTTTCAACTTTGATAAACTATTAGAAAAAATAACTATCAAAGCAGAAATTTTGCTCTTTGTGATAGAAATGGCTCTTTATTATATATAATTTGATCATCAAGACAATTCTGTCAGATCAATTATGGGTTTCTCTTTTGCTATGGTGTATTGAAGAACAGAAAAAAGAAAGAAGTGTTTTGTCTTAAATTCACAGCTAATATGCTCCAAAACTTTGGCTGGATTCTAAAAGATTCAACCCAACTTGCCACTGGCCCTCTTCTACTAAAATGAGAGTAGAGACACAGATATGCTCATTTTTCTATCCCTAGCACCTAAAAGAGTAAGCTCTCAATACATACCTATTAAATGTTTAATGTTGAAATCCACAAGGAAAACATAACATTTCTAAAAACATAGTATTTAATTTTTTTAGTATTTAATTTTTTTATTATTATTATACTTTAAGTTTTAGGGTACATGTGCACAACGTGCAGGTTTGTTACATATGTATACATGTGCCATCTTGGTGTGCTGCACCCATTAACTCGTCATTTAACATTAGGTATATCTCCTAATGCTATCCCTCCCCCGTCCCCCTACCCCACAACAGGCCCTGGTGTGTGATGTTCCCCTTCCTGTGTCCATGTGTTCTCATTGTTCAATTCCCACCTATGAGTGAGAACATGCGGTGTTTGGTTTTTTGTCTTTGCGATAGTTTGCTGAGAATGATGGTTTCCAGCTTCATCCATGTCCCTACAAAGGACATGAACTCATCATTTTTTATGGCTGCATAGTATTCCATGGTGTATATGTGCCACATTTTCTTAATCCAGTCTATCATTGTTGGACATTTGGGTTGGTTCCAAGTCTTTGCTATTGTGTATAGTCTGGCAATGAACATATGTGTGCATGTGTCTTCATAGCAGCATGATTTATAATCCTCTGGGTATATACCCAGTAATGGGATGGCTGGGTCAAATGGTATTTCTAGTTCTAGATCCCTGAGGAATCACCACACCGACTTCCACAATGGTTGAACTAGTTTACAATCCCACCAACAGTGTAAACATGTTCCTATTTCTCCACATCCTCTCCAGCAGCTGTTGTTTTCTGACTTTTTAATGATCACCATTCTAACTGCTGTGAGATGGTATCTCATTGTGGTTTTGATTTGGATTTCTCTGAAGGCCAATGATGATGAGAATTTTTTCATGTGTTTTTTGGCTGCATAAATGTCTTCTTTTGAGAAGTGTCTGTTCATATACTTTGCCCACTTTTTGATGGGGTTGTTTTTTTCTTGTAAATTTGTTTGAGTTCATTGTAGATTCTGGATATTAGCCCTTCGTCAGATGAGTAGGTTGTAAAAATTTTCTCCCATTCTGTAGGTTGCCTGTTCACTCTGATGGTAGGTTCTTTTGCTGTGCAGAAGCTCTTTAGTTTAATTAGATCCCATTTGTGAATTTTGGCTTTTGTTGCCATTGCTTTTGGTGTTTTAGACATGAAGTCCTTGCCCATGCCTATGTCCTGAATGGTATTGCCTAGGTTTTCTTCTAGGGTTTTTATGGTTTTAGGTCTAACATGTAAGTCTTTAATCCATCTTGAATTAATTTTTGTATAAGGTGCAAGGAAGGGATCCAGTTTCAGCTTTCTACATATGGCTAGCCAGTTTTCCCAGCACCATTTATTAAATAGGGAATCCTTTCCCCATTTCTTGTTTTTGTCAGGTTTGTCAAAGATCAGATAGTTGTAGATATGCGGCATTACTTCTGAGGGCTCTGTTCTGTTCCATTGGTCTATATCTCTGTTTTGGTACCAGTACCATGCTGTTTTGGTTACTGTAGCCTTGTAGTATAGTTTGAAGTCAGGTAGCGTGATGCTTCCAGCTTTGCTCTTTTGACTTAGGATTGACTTGTCAATGTGGGCTCTTTTTTCGTTCCATATGAACTTTAAAGTAGTTTTTTCCAATTCTGTGAAGAAAGTCATTGGTAGCTTGATGGGGATGGCATTGAATCTATGAATTACCTTGGGCAATATGGCCATTTTTATGATATTGATTCTTCCTACCCATGAGCATGGAATGTTCTTCCATTTGTTTGTATCCTCTTTTATTTCATTGAGCAGAGGTTTGTAGTTCTCCTTGAAGAGGTCCTTCCCATCCCTTGTAAGTTGGATTCCTAGGTATTTTATTCTCTTTGAAGCAATTGTGAATGGGAGTTCACTCATGATTTGGCTCTCTGTTTGTCTGTTATTGCTGTATAAGAATGCTTGTGATTTTTGCACATTGATTTTGTATCCTGAGACTTTGCTGAAGTTGCCTATCAGCTTAAGGAGATTTTGGGCTGAGATGATGGGGTTTTCTAGATACACAATCATGTCATCTGCAAACAGGGACAATTTGACTTCCTCTTTTCCTAATTGAATATGCTTTATTCCCTTCTCCTGCCTGATTGCCCTGGCCAGAACTTCCAACACTATGTTGAATAGGAGTGGTGAGAGAGGGCATGCCAGTTTTCAAAGGGAATGCTTCCAGTTTTTGGCCATTCAGTATGATATTGGCTGTGGGTTTTTCATAGATAGCTCTTATTATTTTGAGATACTTCCCATGAATACCTAATTTACTGAGAGTTTTTAGCATGAAGGGCTGTTGAATTTTGTCAAAGGCCTTTTCTGCATCTATTGAGATAATCACGTGGTTTTAGTCTTTGGTTCTGTTTATATGCTGGATTACATTTATTGATTTGTGTATGTTGAACCAGCCTTGCATCCCAGGGATGAAGCCCACTTGATCATGGTGGATAAGCTTTTTGATGTGCTGCTGGATTCGGTTTGCCAGTATTTTATTGAGGATTTTTGCATCAATGTTCATCAAGGATATTGGTCTAAAATTCTCTTTTTTTGTTGTGTCTCTGCCAGGCTTTGGTATCAGGTTGATGCTGGCCTCATAAAATGAGTTAGGGAGGATTCCCTCTTTTTCTATTGATTGGAATAGTTTGAGAAGGAATTGTACCAGCTCCTCCTTGTACCTCTGGTAGAATTTGGCTATGAATCCATCTGGTCCTGGACTTTTTTTGGTTGGTAAGCTATTGATTATTGTCTCAATTTCAGAGCCTGTTATTGGTCTATTCAGAGATTCAACTTCTTCATCATTTAGTCTTGGTAGGATGTATGTGTTGAGGAATTTATCCATTTCTTCTAGATTTTCCAGCTTATTTGCATAGAGGTGTTTATAGTATTCTGTGATGGTAGTTTGTTTTTCTGTGGGATCGGTGGTGATATCCCCTTTGTCATTTTTTATTGCATCTATTTGATTCTTCTCTCTTTTCTTCTTTATTCGTCTTGCTGGCAGTCTAATTTTTTAAATAATTAAGCTGTGGTAAAGCTCTAGATGGAGCCTAGAAGTGAATTTCAAAACTGTGAATATTTCTTTGGTGACAGCTGATGTGGGATAACTGCCTGTGGTATGGAACTTGGAATGTGGGATGAAGGGACCACAAGAAATGGGACCTGAGGACTCTAGAGGCTGACTCCAAGAATGTTAGGACCACATAAGATGTCTTGACCTGCAGAGTATAGACGGGCTCTTTCGTTCACCTTGTCGGACCAGATAATTCTGTTTGAACTTTGTGAACTAGAAAGGATAGCACAGGTATGCAATTCAATCTCTGTGAGAAAAAGACTTTTATGTTTAATAGCATTAGAATATGATCTAAGCTAAATAAAATTAACTGTTAGTATGTAATACCCCTAAATATCCTCTCTCTTTAAAGTTTCAATTGTCTGATAATGTGTTAAAAATCATAATGAAAATAAGATCCTCACATTAGCCCCTATGTCTTAGAGTCATTTTTGTCTGTAACCACCTCCCTCCCTCCTCACCTTCATCTCTCTCTCTCTCTCTCTGTCTTTTTCCTCTGTTTTAACATTCATTTATGGAAGACACCATTTGCCTGTGCAGAGAGTTTTCCACCAACTGGATACTGCTGACTGCATCCCCGTGGTGCAATGTAGCATGCCCCTCTGTCCTCTTTAGGTCCTGTGAAATTCTGATAGAGCTAAAGTTTTATTTATTTATTTATTTATTTATTTATTTATTTATTTATTTCTGTAGTACTATTATGTACTAAGCACTGCTGTGTTCTTCCATAGAGAAGTTCATAATGTGCTGTTATCTTTTGTTTTATGTTAATAGCCATTGCTGATCAATTAATTTATTACATGTTTGATTTGTGATGTTATTCCAATTCTGAAAATCAATTTTGCAAATGCTTGTTTGATTACATTTTATTCATATCAGAATGGTGTATTACAGTTTTACTTTGTTTCTTAGCTTTGTTTTGAGAATGTTTTTGTTTAAAAATATATACTTCTCATGCTTTCTTTTATTCGTGTAGTAACTTTTATGAGTTCAGTATTCACTATGTTGTTTTTTTATTTTCATGTTGAATTTTCTGGGACTAACAGTAGAAAAAGAATCTAGGGTGGTAAAGTTTGATGGCTTTCTTTACTTCTAAATTCAAGCATAATCTTTCCTGTTGCTACAGGGGTTTCTTCAACAAATAGAAATAAATGGACCTTTCTCTGGTTTAACATCCCCTAAAGATTTCTTTTTCTTCACCATTTTCTAATTTCAGTAAGACTTTGTTTCTTAGCCATTTATGCATTCCTTATTGCTACCAAGCCTCTAAGAAGCCTCTATCCAAGGACCCTCCATTGCCTTCAGAACTCATATTTGCATGATGCTGCCATACTTTGCACTACACATTTTTAATTTATTTTCATTTGACTTCCTATTAAGTGTTCTATGTGCTTTCCTACCCTGGTTAGGACATTTTACTTCTGAATATAAATCACTAGATTTTTTTTTGTCTGTGGTCTTCCCTGATTAGTATCCTATGGCATTCTTTTAGGTTCATCGCAATTGCCTTTGATACCTCTACATCACAACTTCTGTGCAAATTACAAGACCTCACATTATGCCAGGCAATGTAATATAAAATATATCCATAAAAATATATTATTAAAATATTTGAGTTATAAGGAACATGATAAGATTTAAAAAGCATTTTAAATTTGAAGGAAAGAAAAATAATGCACTTTAGCAATAAACATACAGCAAGCAGGCTGACCTCTTTACTTCTTTTTTCCTCATAAGAGAATCCTTACTTTGTGCAAGCATCTGTCTACAAGTTGGTTTGTCAATAAATGACAATATTTCCTAAAATTGCTATTGTCATAACTACGTGCACATGCCCAGGGTAGTATATTTAAACCAAAAAGGGTAATTACAGTTCCTGATTAGGAAAGAGACTTCTCAATCTCCTGTTGCAGATGAATGAAGAAACATTCATCCACAAATGCTATTGGAAGACACGTTGACATCACAGGGAACATGTTTAGAGATTAAGTTTAAAGCTGAGAATTGTAGAAGTAAGAGGCAGAAAAAAAATATATAGCACTCATTAAGTATTTATAACAATTATGCCTGCAAGGGCTTATATCTAAATTTCCATTTATATGAGGCATTATGTTAGCTTATTAAGTGAAAAAGGTTTGCAGCTATTTTCAATGAAAAGCATTTCAACTCAAACAAGTGGTGATTGTATTTATTTTTAATTGTAAAGTTTTGGGTGAAGAAATATTGCCCAAACAAAGAATGATAAGCAACCGTGATAGAATCCAAGATATATAATGACTTAGAAAATGTATCACTCTTTGTGAAAACAAGATGAAGATAGACCTTAATATATGGGGTATAAAGTGCAAAAGTAAGAGCTCAAAAATGAGATACAGGTGCTCTTGATGAATTAACTTTCCTTAGTCAAATAGATATATTCAGGATTTCTATTTATTCTGGAATTAATTGTGGTAATTTATATCTTTCAAGAAATTTGTACCTTGTATCTAAGTAGTTCAGGATATTGTCATAATATATTTCATAATCGTTCTTTATTCTCATTTTAGGATTTGTAGGAGGAATATTAATGATGCCTCGTTTCATGTCTAGCCTTACTAATTTACATTAACCATTTGAACATTTGCTTTTATCAATTTAGGTAAAATAATTTTATTCTATTATAATTTTATAAAGAAGCAGTTCTTGCTTTCACTGATATTTTAATATTGTTATTTCTGTTATCTCTTTCACTGATTTCTGCTCTTATCTCTATTTTATTTCATCTTTTTACTTGGGCTTATTTTACAATTCATTTTCCAGGCTTTCTTCCCTCCTGACTTAAAGAAAGCAAACAAAAATATCTACATACCTTAATTTGGGGGAGAATGTGGTCATGTTGCTCATGTATTCATATGTGTATATACGTCTCACACACACACACACACAAACACACACTCCCCCTGACTTTCTTGAGTAAGAAATAGTTTATTCTTACCCAGTGTTTCTCTTCCCAAAGAATATATAGATTGTTGTATTTTTCCATTTATACCTGATGTTTTAAATTATATTTGATTTTAAAATGAAACTTTTGGCCTGATTAATGTGTAAAGCATACAGTTAAAATAATGGTGTTTTATTATTATTTATTTAATGTGAATATTTGCGTCTTTTACTCATGAGAAAGATAATTTGCTACTTTATTCTATTAAGCTGTCTACATTATTCTAGTGTCAGAAACAATGAATAATGATAATAAATAAAATTATTATTATAATAAATAAAATTATTATTATGATAATAAATAAGATTATTATTATCATTATTACAAACCAAAATCTCTATAATGCTACTCAGGAGCTTTATTAATATAGTTGCTTTCTTTAGTTTTCTACAAACTGATGAGTATAATTTTCATCTTCTCCTTACTGTTTCATTTCCAGTTAAGCCATGTTGCTGAGAATTGTATACCCAGAATTAGCTACTGACCTGATAAAAACTATGTACAAAAAGTTTCTGAAATCAGGTTGATGGGACTACCTGTGAAATAATTTTCAAATTAATTTTTACATTTTGTGTCCGTGTGTTTGTGTAATAAATAAATTAGCCCAAATAAATTTTTATATTGTGCTTCAAGAGGAAGAAATGAGGAAAGGAAAAGCCAACAAAATTAACATACTGCATTCTATGTCACATTCTTCTGTAGTTCCAGTGATATATAGACAATCTAGACAGCTACTCAGCTCCTAAGATGAACAAGTCTATATTTTTTTTGAAGAATTAATTATTTTGGATACATAATAGTTTTACACATTTACGGGATATATGTGAGGTTTTCATACAAGGATACAATCAGGGTAATTGGGGTATCCACCACTTCAAGCATTTATCAGTTATTTATTTTAGAAATATTCCAATTTCACTCTTTTAGTTATTTGTAAATTGACAATAAATTATCGTTTACTATAGTTGCTCTATTGCACTATCCTTTTTGTCTCAGTCTGTTATGGAGTAGAATGTCCAAAGCTCCCTCTGCTTGCTTGTATCTATTATGATTCACCATATTCTATAATAATCTTTATTCCTATTAATGTATTTGCTAGCTTTATAGTCCTTTTCTGGATTAACAAAGTGTTTACCATCTATTTCCAAAAAAATTATGTAATCTAATGTGGACAGATTGGTCCACTGACAGTAGCTAAAATATGAATTCTTTTATATTAAAAGTACTTTCATGTAATCCCATTTTGCTTAATGTTTGTTTTGATGTTACAGAAAAGTAAAATAATTATATTAAAATAATAGTGGATCTTGATACCTCTAAGTTTTTAAAATGACTATTAGTGATTATTTAAACTTGAAAAGACATTTAGGATATTTAATCTTTTATTAGATAGAATTGTAGAAAATTATGAACATCCACTTAACTAAGCAAAAATAATGTTTTTGCCTCAAAATTATAATTTTAGGACCATGTATTGGGGATTTGTATAAAAGATTAGCGAAGAACAACTCTGAATTTTCTATTCTAAGTTGATTGGAAGTTGCAATTTATTTAATTGCCTTTTAAGTACTGTGTTAGCTTGTGCAATCACATGATTTATTGTTCCTGACACAGCCATTTGAGAACAAAAGTAATACTAACGCAACAGGACTTTGGGACAATAAAAATAAGCCTCAGTTATCACAGGCAAAGTCACATTTATGAATATGTTACTGCTATGGACTGAAAGTTTGTGTCTCCTCCCCAAAATTCTTATGTTGAAATAGAAAACACCAGTGTGACTGTATTACGAAGGAGGTAATTAGCTCATGAAGGTGGAGCTTTCACTAATGGGATTAGTTCTCTTACAATAATAGACAGGATACAGCTTACTTCCTTTCTCTGCTCTCTCTCCACCATGTGAGGATACAAGGAGACATTCAACCAGAAGGTTCCTTGCCAGACACCAGCTCTATCTACCAGAGCCTGATTTTGGATATCTCAGGCTTCAGAACTCGGAGATATAAATTGTTGTTGTTTAAGCTACCATCTATGGCATTCTTCTAGAGTAACACAAACTTACAGAGGCAGTTATTTTTAACTCAACAATAGTGATCTACTAATTTCCAGCCCCTTTTTCTTTCGTATGTTTAGTCATTGGAATTCAACAAGGTTTATCTTTCTGTTAATATTTATTTCCTTCCCTCCCCATTTCTCTTCTTGTCTTCCTAGCTTCCTTTCCCTCTTCTTTTTGTCCCCCCTTCTCTCTTTTGCTTTCTCTCCTTCTCTCTTTCTCTTTCTGATATTTTTTCCATTTAACCTAATTCAATATTTAGCAATGTCAGACTTCTATAAAGGTTAGAATATTTTGAATAACTATTCCAATTTCGTTAGGAATGCAAACAATGCTTCAAATTGCCTATTAATATTAACATATTTATTATTTATATTAATACTTATTATTTATATCTTGAAAATAAGTATATTTTAGATGAGTAGATTATATCACTAAGCTTTTATTTTTTCCCACTGGATGAATCCTCAATAAAGACAGAAGAATAGGAATATTAAAAGATTAATTACTGTGTAATTAGTGTACTGTGAAAGGCAAAATGTACTGGCTTAAGTTTTTGCTGAACTGACGTGCATTACTAATTTTCATATATCTTGTTTCTATTATCTGATTAATTTGCTCTTATACAGAAATTCAATAACTTAGTAAACAAAATTAACTAAAAGGAGCCTAAGTCAATTAGTGAAGTTATGAACTTCGGTCATAGAGAATATTTTGATTTATTAATGACATTTAACTTCCCACATCACCACCACCCCACTACACACAGTTTTTGTGAAATTTCCGGACTAGTTTCCATTTCCAAGATTTGAAACAAGATATTTATATGATAACACATCTACCAAAGTAAGAATTAATAACTTTTTCGCGAAAGAGAATGGAAAAGGCTGCAAAATATTTGGAGCAGGTGGATGGCATGGCTATTCATACCTCGAAAAGTTTTTGTAATTTTCATTGGAACATTAATAGAAATGGAGTGAGATGTATACAGGGAGCCAGATATATGACAGTTGTAATTGCTCAGAAAAATAAAGGTCAAGGTAATCCACATTAGAGTGATGATGCTGGGGATGAATAAGAGGGGTATTTAATATGAACAGTGGTAATATTGATTGAACTTGCTGATTTTTTTTTTTTCATGTGGAAATATGATTGAAACAGAAAAGTAAAAGAAACTTGTTTCTAGATTCCTGGCTTGGGAAACTGAGTAACAACTGGATAAATTTCTAAAAGAAATAATTCAGGAAGTGAATCCATTTCTAGAATATCTGCATTTACTTTCTTTTCCTGTAATCATTAATTCACAATTGTTTATTAAGCGCTTCTTGGAAGAGGCTTAGGTCCATGAAGGGAAAATAAAATCAAATATGTTGTTCTTTGATTCAAGTTGTTTTCTATTTAATTGCAGTGATAAAGTAAATAATAAAATAGCATGCTTTTTAAAGTAAATTGTAGAAAATGTTATTTTGAAGGGTCAGATAAATCCTTATAAGAGTTCAGAGAGGAGAAGTGGTACTTTAGGGAAACACTTTGTAAACTTACTCTGTTAATGGCCATGTACTAAGTGTTTTGGCTTTGTAAGCCAAGAAGCAAAATTAAGACTGTTGTGTAGACATGCTTATATCAACCGAAGAAAACAAATTTCCACAAATAACTTATTGTTAAAAATCCAAAAGCATCATTGTATTAGTCATCTTAGGCTGCCATAACAAAATATCACAGACCGGGTGGCTTAAATAATAGAAATTTATTTTCTCACAGCCTGGAGTCTGGAAGTCTAATGTAAAGGTACTGGCAACTTTGGTTTCTCCTGAGACCTCTCCTAGGTTTGCAGATGGCTGCCTTCTGGCTGTGACTCCACATGGCCTTTCCACTGTATGCTCACCCTTCCTTTTCTTAAAAGGACACAAATGCTTTGACATTAGAGCTCTGTCTTCATTACCTTATTTAACCATAATTACCTCTTTAAAGACCCTACCCTATCTCCAAATGCAGTTGCATTGGGGGTTATTATTTCAATGTGGGAATTTTTTGGGAAACACAATTCAGTACAAAACAACAGCAATGACAACAATAATGACTGAGCAAAACTTTTGTAATACAAGTCTGCCAATGAGAAGAATAGGAGTATTGGGGGATGGATAACATTTTTGCTCAATTACAGTTCAAAGTTAGGGTTTCCTATATTGAAAATTGATTGCAAAAGTTAATATGTTAATGCTCATCTGTAATGAGATTGTTTTTCATCTTTAAAAATATCTTTTCACAAATAAGTTACACATGTAATATTAGAAATGCCGAATTATTCTTGTCTCATTGAGATTTGTAATGTAAGAAGGAAGGAAGGAGGAAAGAAAGGCAAGCAAGCAGGAAGGCACAGGAACAGAACAGAAGAACGTGGTAATTTTAACAAGCAATTTTTTTCCCGTCTCATTGCAAGCACCATTGAGTCTGCATTGTTAGAACTACTAGCAGAATATTGAAAAGTGAATACATTATCTAATATAATTAAATTACTAAGAGTTAAATGGATCCCTGACTCCAAATGTATTATAAGTATAAATTAAGAAAGGTAATGTGTAATAAAATTGATTAGCGTTAGAAGCTGAAATAATATAAAGATATAATTCTAGTCAGATCCCAAATGTATCTCTACACAATATTTCTGCCAGGTGATCATCTAAATGAGCAACACCTGGTTAAATGAATTTTTAAGTGTTCTCTACCCTTTTCTTTTTATTACATTCCCTTTTATTCTCATGCTTATAAAAATAAACTTGTTTTTTATTCTTATTCCATTTTTATTTAGGTATAGTTTTTTTTTTTTTACATTACAGTAGGTACATTAGGTAAAGCGTTTTTTTTTAAATTTATCAATGGTCATGTTTTTATTTCTAACTCCACTTTGCAACCCCCAATGAAATTCAAAAGTTACATAAACTATAATATTTATCATAAGCACAATTGAAGTTGAGGTAATTAATAAATGAGGTAAATAATGTGGCTGAATACTCCATGAAGTGATTATTTAGCCTTGATATTTATTGAAAGAAAATCCACCAAGAAAAAAAAAGCACAGAACATGTGGTGCCAAAGGGGCTATATCTAACATAGTTAATTTTTGCTTTTAGTCAAACAAACATACTCCAAATGTTTTACTGATTACTAATTCAAAACAGTATTTTTTAAAAAGCAAAAGGAGCATAATGTATGCCATTAAAATTTTTCAAAGTGCAATGCATTTTTCAATAGTTTAGTCCTATTTTTAACAACCAAATACATTTTATTGAAATTTGCAATTGCCACTCTCATAGTCGATAAAACTTGTTAGATTACTGTAAAATGTATTATATTGAAGGCAGCTCTAGGCCACCTGGAACAGCTGCTGCCATCATGCTTGCTGCAGCAGGGAGGCATGGCTGGGGCTGCATGCTGCATGGAGTTGGTGGGAGCCAGGGACAAGCAGGATCCCCGTCCCTTCTGAGTTGGGGCAGGAGCTCCCTGGGTGTCACTGCAGCTGCCCAAGCCATGACTGCGGACCTGGGCATCCCTGTGCTCTTGGACCCCAGCAGCAGGTGGAAGTCCAGCCCTCCCATGTGCAACTGCAGCTTCCCAAGTCAGGGCTGAACACCTGGACCTCCCACTCCAAGTCCATGGAGCAGGCAGGAACCCTGCCCTTCCAAACACAGCTGCAGACACCCAAGCTGCATCTGTGAACCTAGGCATCTCTGCACTCTTGGAGGCCCAGGAAGGTCCCCCTTGCCCTTGGAGGCTTAAAAGTCCCTGCTCAGGCTACCTGGAGTCTCCCTGCTGTCAGAGCCCACTCTAATATCAGAGCAAAGTTGGGGCTGAGCCCAGCACTGTAGCAGCCTGGCTGGGTGTGCACACCCCCAGGGAAGTGCTGACATGCCAGGCCCCTGCTACCTTGGCTTCCTCTGGACTTTGGGTGCTGAGGAGCATAGGAGTGAAGCTGAGGTGGTGCTGTGGGCAGCTCAGTGCCAGTCTGCAGGTGCTCCTTGACACCTACAGCCTGAGCACCATGAATGGCAACAGGAGCCAGACAGGTTCCTGGGTGGAAGGGAGCAGGTCCCCAGTGAGTGCCCACCTTCAGGCCAGGGAGGACCTGAAGTCCTCCAGCTGCCAATCCCACTAAGCAGAGTATGAACTTGTGGTGCCTTTTTTGGGCCTGCCCATGGCCACCCATGGACCAATTGGCACAGACTTCCTCCCCTGTGAGGCCCATAAAAGCTCCTGGCTCAGCCAGAGCTGAGCAGACATCAGGACTACCATCTCTAGAGAGGAGGTACCCACTCGAGGACCTCCTCTCTGCTGAGAGCTACAGAGACAATGGGACAATCTGCCTGCAGAGAGGAGCTTCCCACTCAAGGGTCACCTCTCTTATAAGGGCTGAACATTCACTGGGAGACCCTGGCTGCAGAAAAGAGCTACCCCCTCCACTTATCTGTGTACCTCATTCTTCCTGGAGGCAGTATCTGTTGAATGGCAGGGCTAAAAGAGCTGTAACACAAACAGGGCTGAAACATGTCCCTTGCTCGCCATGCTGTGGGTGAAGAGGACAGAAGAGCTACAGCCCTTTGGAGAGCTGAGACTTGGGAGTTCCGTGAGTTAGGGCTCTGAATTCCTTTTTGGGGCCCTGTGGTTCCTGAAATCTCCAAGCTTCTGGGCACCACCATGTTCCCTGGTGCAAGTCATTGAAGCTGCTTGCATTGCACTTGGTCTAGCTGTAGCGTCATAGAGAGCTGTCACCCATTCTGGAACCTGGAGCTGCCCACCACATTGCAGCAGTTGGCGTGTCTGACTGTGCAATGGCCAGACCCCACACTTGCTCACACACCCCTCACCGCTCCATGCCTGACTCACCCTTAGCAGGCATGGAATCTTTTATGGTTTATAATAAAATTGTGAATCTCTTTACTAATAGAGTTGGAAGAAAACAACAATATGTCATACTATTTCATTTCAACAAGGGACATGTAAAGGCTTTCCACCATTGTCAACATTTATTATTTTATGACATATCGTGGAGAGCTTCTAATCATTAGAGATGAAAATAAATAATCACTGAAAATTATATTGTTGAAATGTATAAATGTAGACATAAGTTGCCTTATGAAAATGTGATGCAAGTTATTACACAAGATCACAATCCTTTGAAACTTAAAACATTTCAAATTCCATTTGCATTTATAATTTATAAATTTAAATTTTAAAAAAATAAGAAAGTTTAACAGAACTTTAGAATTCTGAAATATAAAACATATTAAGACTTAATAAATAACTGTATTTAGAATGTCTGTATCTTATGAAGCACATTAAAAGTCATTTAATGCCAGATGTCACATGATTATTATATCTTCTATACACAGCTTTTGTCAAATGATCATCCCAGCGATTACACAGAGTAATGAAAATTCAACATCTATCAAGACATCACATTCTACCTTTGAAAAACATATTATTTCAAGCTTATTGTCATTTGAAAAAATAAGAAAATAGTACATAGAAAATCTCAGAAAGAATACAAGTTTTCTATAGCAATTTGAAACCATAATGTTATTCAGTCTTAAGAATGAGTAAAGGATATATAAATGGAAATAATACTTTCTATTATAGGGTTTTAGCATATTTATTTATTGCCTAATAATATTAATTCCATATTTCTATATTTAGTTGGATAAATTTGAAAAACTTATTTGTGAAATTATGTCACATTATTAATACAGTCTTGATATTTTATACTCTGATGAAATATTTCTATCTTTTAAAGCTTAATGCAGTATTCAGTTACATTATTTTCATACTACAATAGTATGTGATACAAATTAGGCCAGATATAAATAATTGTTCAGTAGATAAATGCCAAACTTACATGATTTCAATTATATTCACATTACCCTCATTTTTAATTCTTAATTAATTTTTAAAAGCCTAATATTGTAGAAAGTATTTAAGTTTTTCAATGGCATCAAGTATTTTCTACTGATTATAAAAGCAACATGTTATTTTTAGAAAATTATTGCTTATAAAAATCTACACAAAAATTAATCTCCACCCAATTATACCCTCTATTAGTATTTTTTACCTTTAAATTTTGAGTTAAATTATGTGGGCTCTTACCATTTTATATGTATTTATACCACTTTTCTAATAATAAGTTACAAGAAAGAATATGACAGCTTCTATTTTTGTCTATATAATGCTCTATAGTGAATGCTACACAATGCACTCTCAGTTACATCTCAACTTTTATTTGCAATCTTATTCCCCAGTACTCTTTTTATGTATATAGTACTCTATGGTAATTAGAACTTATTCTTCAACCAACTTTAGATATTCTCTACCCTGTATTTCTAAACCATGACCCACGGCACACTGTTTTGTTTCTAAGATGTCTGTTGCAAAGAGTTACAATTATCATTATAATGTGAAATTTTACATAATACCACAACATAAAATAAAGGGCAATTGTTCATTCAGGAGATTGTACATGCTGTGTGGTGTAGTGTAATGACAGCTGAGAATCACTGTTTCATAGTGTCATTCTTCTATTATCCTAAATAAATGTAATATTCAAAATAAAACATACTTATTCAAACTTTACTCAAGGTGGTGTAATATGCTAAGCATTTTACAGACACTGTGTCATTTTGTCCTTATAAACACCTCATTAAAGAAAGATTATTATTCTTGCATCTCAGAAAAGGAGTCTAAAGTTTAAAATAAATTAGCATTTTTTTGTTTTTTTTTCGAGATGGAGTCTCGCTCTGTCACCCAGGCTGGAGAGCAGTGGCGCGATCTCGGCTCACTTCAACCTCTGCCTCCCGGGTTCAAGCAATTATCCTGCCTTAGCCTCCCAAGTAGCTGGGACTACAGGAGCACGCCACCACGCCCAGCTAATTTTTTTGTATTTTTAGTAGAGATGGGGTTTCACCGTGTTAGCCAGGATGGTCTCCATCTCCTGACCTGGTGATCTGCTCGCCGCGACCCAAAGTGTTGGGATTAGAGGCGTGAGCCCCCGCGCCCACCCTAGTAGTTTTTTAGAGGTTACAGAGCTAGTAAAAACAGGGCCAAGATTTGTAAAACATTCTATTTTAATGAAAAGCAAATTTCTTCATGAGTATGCTATAAAATTGAGCTTTCCATTCAAAGAGCTAAAGTTGTATTAGTCTAACTACATATTTCATATTGCTATAAAAATGTTTTCCTTCTTTTAAAACTTTAAAAAAATAAATGTGAAAATATTGGGATTGTGTATAGAAAACAACAGGCAACATGATCCATGGTACAGAAGGTAGGTGCAATAAGTAAGGAGAAAGAAAGATCAATAGACAAGAGAACATGTGAACTAAGATTTCTAAAAATTGGGTCTCCTGCTTAATGGCTGATTTGATTGCCTTTTTAAGTTTATGGGATGGTAATTTCCATAAGAATTGCTGACATTCACATCAGCATATTCAAGGAGAGTCAAATAAGATGAATTATTTTTTAGTGAAAAGGGACGTTACTGAGTTAGGCATTTATAACTGTCTTGACATTTAGAGTAATAAATACTGAAATAGGTAGCAAACACTTTAGTGTTTCATCTATTTTTGAAAAAAAAAAAAACTTTAGAAAAAGATTAAAACATACTTGTGATAGGAAGAATAATGACCCCCTCAAAGATGCACATATCCTAATTTTCAAAACTGGTAGATACGTTAGGGTACATTGAAGAAGGAAATCGAGGTTGCAGATGAAATTAAGGTTACTAACCAGCTGACTTTAAAATGGGTAGCTACCCCTGAATTATCCAAGTGGGCACAAAGTAATTACAAGTGAGCTTAGAAGTAGAAGAGGGAGAAAAAAGGAGAGGTGAGTAATGAGACATGATAAGTACTTAACTTCTGTTTCAGACTTTGAAGACGGAGGAATAGGCCCATGAACCAAGGAACATGTATGTCCTTTTAAAGCATGAGAACAGATTCTTCCCTAGAGCTTCCAGTAAGGAACACAGTTCTCCAGACATCTTGGTTTTAGCCTTGTAAGATTTGTAATGGATTTCTGATTTATAGACTTGTTCTTTTAAGCCACTAAGTTTGTACTAGTTTTTTTTTATAGCAGCAACATAAAACTAATACAACTTATTCTAAACAACTTATCCTACTATAATGAAGTACTTTTGGCATTTTCACAGTAATAGATTTTCATTCTAAGATATTTTTCAATTATTTTGACCAAGAAGGAATTCTGAACCCAAAATATTCAATGTATTTTACAGAAATAAACCAATCAATTATAGACACCATCTTATTTTAAGTTTATAGATTATCTGAATTTTTCTAGTTATGCAAGGATGCATACATTTATTAAAAATTATTACAGAATGACTAGGAGAATAAGCTACATTTGAATTCAGATTACACATCTACTCAGTTATTTGAGATTAAAATATAAAAGTAGTTATATTTATACTCAGTTACATAGTTGTAAATATGATTTCATAATAGAAAATAGTGGAAAACAATGATGAAAAATGATCATCTTCCATATATGAATGAGGAAACTGGGCCCAGTGAAGTTAAAGAACTTCTTAGTTATTACTTAGTCAATGTCAAACTTTAAACAATATTTCATAGTTCTTATTTCAAAGGTCTTTTTATTGTATCACTTGCAAAAACATACACAATATTTTCAGCTACAAATAATACATAAATTCATTTTTAAAATACACTAAAATAGAAAGGGGAATAATATAAAAAGTTATCCTACATACCCCTAACTTTATTATCTATGTTTTAAGTATATACACTGTCACTTGTTTCTTATACATGCTCGTAAATATTTTTATCACATGCACCCATATACATGCATAGATTTCTTTTCCCCAAACAAAGCACTCTGTACCTATTTTTGTGTATCTTCCTTTTTTTCACTTAAAATTCTTCTTTTTATGTGACTACATTGGCTGCATGTAATCTCATGACTATTGTAATATATAAATCCCATAAAATAGGTAACTATTTGGAATTTCAGTACACTAAATCCTAGCCAAAACAATTAAAAAGTAGATTCAGCTATTATAGCTGTCAAATGAAGACTCCCTGGAAGAAATCATCAAAATAAAATAATCATGTTAAGCCAAGTTTATGCTCACTGTATTCCACTTTGTAATACACTAGAAGACCAACATCAAAAGTAGAACATTGATAAGGTTTGATTTAAGGCAGACCACTCAATGTGAAGCCTAATTGAGATTAGGCAAAATTTATGATATAATTGTTTAGAATTGATGAACACACCAATCAAGTCAATAGTTAAGTGATAGCTGTTATTTTGAGAAGTGCCCATTTACCCATATGACAGAAAGTTGAGTAGGATGTTGCTAATATAAATAAATTTTCAGGAAGTTGAAATAAATGAAGTTATTGCAACTTTATTTTTTGAGCAATACTTTTCTGAAATAGTATCCATGTTAAAGCAAAGTGTTGATTACAATAATCATGTTAATATCAATAATCAATTAGTAAATCCATGCTAATGTGGATACTAAGTTGTTTGACTGTAGATGGTTTTCATTTTCATGATCCAGTGGTTTAGATGTTGAATTACATTCCCAGCAATAATTCAGTAGGAGATATATGTCCCAGCCTTACTGTACCTCAGACTGTTTCAACTTTTTGTTAGTGACCTTGGCTTGCATAGCAGTCTCCATGTGGATGTTGAGCATGGTTTATTTGGTTGGTATTCAGCATTTTCTACTTTCCTTTAAAAAGGGGGAGAGAGGCACTACATTTCACATGAGACTCTACAATGACTATATCTTTCTCTCTCTCTTCACTTGTCTCTAAGGCCTGAGTCACAGTCAGCTCCTGTTCATTGGTTAAGGTCACTGGAAATTGAACTGTAGGTGACCACTCTACATGTTTCACCAGATTTATGTCATAGAATGAGCTACTCTATTAGCATCCTACTTTCAGAATATTCAGATGATGATTGACGTTTCCAAATGCTCTCCTCCCTCTCCCACATGGATACAGAAAAACAAATTCAGAAATCACATATTAAGAATTAACTCAGCATTTATTGTTCTGGTGGCAACACATGATACGTGCGAGGTCGGGTCGGGGAGCTAGAGATTCAGTAATTCTATATAACCAGGCTTCCTATCAAGCATACACAAATTTTACAACAGTTTCTCTTATAGAGCATTTCTTCAACTTGACTTCCCTCTTTGGAAAATGGAGAAAAATAAATCTCTTTCTTTTCTCCTCTAGAATGAAAAGAAAGTACTCCTAATTCATTCAGGAACCTTTCTCTTGATTACTCAAAAGGCTCAAATGCACATCCTTTTACTTTACATTTCCTGGAATTTTTCCTACAATGGATTGGAAGTGGGGGATGCTATCTGTAGTGACTATAGTAAAGTACCAAGGTCAGTTCTTTAGCTGCTGAGTCGTTTTGGGTCACAGCATCTTGATCCAATTGGTTTCCCTCTTTACATCATGGGTTTTTTTTAGTGCCTTGCAGACTTCAACTTCACATATAGAATATGGAATGTATAGAATAATATCTTTATAAAGTTATAGTATACTACAGATTAAGGACTTTAAAAATTTATTCAATAGTAATGATAAAATAATATGCATTCCTTGCTTATTGATTCTGAATAATAGTTTGTTCACTTTTCTCCTATTTGTTTATATTCACATATGATTACCTTTCTAATTTTCTACTAAGATAATCTATTTTCCTTGCTTTTAAGAGTGTGTTTCTAACAATAATTATTTTATATTACATAAAATACATTGCATTTAGTGCCAATGCTGCACTTATTCTAAAATAATAAAATGTGCCTGAAAAATTTGTAACAAGAAAGTGACATATCTTCTATCTCACACTGGCCCTGTTTTTAAGATCCAGTTTAGGTTCTTCCCATAGTACAAATGAAATAAAAATATATATACTTATAACTACATTTATAATACCTAGGAGAATCATATTGCATGAAATAGACTCATAAAATTCAAAGAGCAACTACTTTTATGATTTTTTTTAGCAACAGATAATTAACTTACCAACAGATAACATAAAATTGGTTTCCAAGCAAGAAAATAGGTGGACCTGGAAAGAATGTAGCTGTAGACTCAAGAATGAGCCAAATATTTCCTGAATATCAAAGCTAGATAGTATAAAATTAGGATTCTTTGGGCTCCATTTACTATTCAATAAAAAATAGTATCCAAGGAGAATTTATTCTAAGAATATTGGTGATTTCCTGAAGCCAAAAATGAGACTGTTAATGAAAAATGTCAAACTCTGTAAAGTATTTGGAGATTTATTCTGAGCCAAATATGAGTGAGCAATGGCCTGTGACACAGTTGTCAGAGATCCTGAGAACATGTTTCCAAGGTGGTCGGGGTACAGCTTAGTTTGATTCATTTAAGGGACACATGAGACTTCAATCAAATACATGTAAAATGTACATTGGTTTGGTCCAGAAATGCAAGACAAGTGAAAGCATCTGCTTCCAGGTCATAGGTAGACTCAAAGATTTTCTGATTTGTAATTTGTTGAAAGAGTTAAGTTACTCTCTAAAGACTTAAGACTGTCTGGGTTAAGATAAGGAGTTGTGGAGACAAAGGTTTTACTTTGCAGGTGAAACCTCCAGGTAGCAGGCTTTGGAGAGAATGGATTGTAAATGTATCGTTTCAGACTTGAAGACTCTGTTCTATCCTTAATTACAAAAGGGTGGAGGATGTAATTAGGCATGTCTAACCCCTTCCTTCCCATCATAGCCTGAATTAGTTTTTCCGGTTAGCTATGGAATTCCCTTGACAAGAGGAGAGGTGAATTCAGAAGGTTGGTAAGGGGGCTTAGAGTTTTATTTTTGGTTTACAGAACTATAGCTGGAAGAAGCTCAGGGAAATCTGAAATCGGGGAAGAGTACAGAAAGTTTCTGACTTTTCCTGAATTTAATGTTAGTATTTCTTCATGCTTTGCAGTGTCATTTTTTCTCAAAAAAGACCATCATTCTCCACATTGCAAGAGATGATATCTATAGAATTTAAATCTTATTATTATTTGAACTTTTATAACTTTTCTACAAGGCAAAGGTTATAATCTTTAATGGAAGATTTCATTTTCTACGTGGAAAAATCTCTGAGAAGGGACTCAATGGTCTAGTCTCACTTACGTTTCACTTATTCCCAGGGTAACCAAGTTGTTTAGGAGGGCAGAGCGAAATAAGAACTCGACAGTGCCATACAGAAATTATTGGATGGAGTAGGAAGAAATGCAATTTAGAGATGAAAAGGAGAGCTACTCTGATTTAATAATAATAATAATAAAGGTAGATGTGAAATATGCATTATCCTATTGCTCTTGCCAGGAGTATATTTTGATTGAGAGAGCAGCAATAAAGGCAGGCAAACATTAGCTACCAATAAAAATAATAATAATTGAGACTGTTCTGGTACTGTGAAAGATTTGAAAAGGGTAAATATAAAACCATATTGCCCCTGTCTGAAGAAGCCTACTTGGAGTTAAATGACTGAAACACTAATTGTATAGTCAAATTATATGCAAATCATAGTAGGAATACAAATAAATAGTTAAATCTATTTCCGACATGAAAGATGAGGGAAGATGATTTTAAATGTTATAGATAAACCATCAGTTGTAGGATCTCAAAAAGATGTGTCTACTGATAAATAATTTGTGACAGCATAAAATATGAGAAGAATGAACAATTGGACTATAGATGTCAAAATATCAAGGATTCATTTCACCATAACAAGGAGCTTTACATGAAACTGGAGAAGGCTAAAATTCATAATTTTGTTACTTGTCTATCCATTAGCTAGACCTAAGTCAGAGTTTTTATTATACTTATTGGTAAGCAACGTATCTACTATAATTATAAAATCTCTTTTTGTCTATTTGCCATAGTTTAGGCAATGCTTTATCCTCTCCTTCAGCTCTCAAATATGAGCCAGGTAATAACTTGTGGTGCAAGGAAAGTACTCTCCTAAATCTCTATTGGTTAAACACTCATGAAAATATAGCATTTCCTAAATACAGTTAAATTCTGAAAAGTTTGAGATGCCATATACTTACTAAAAGTCTGATAAGATTAATTTTCTTGCTACCTTATGGCTGACTAAATTCACCATGCTCTAATAGATGCCTCAGATGTTCTCTGTATTGCATGATATATACTTTCTTCTGATTATCCTTTCTACCTTAGCTCTCATTCTTATAGCCTCCTGTTTTTTGACCTTGTATTAACATATTGCCTTTCTCCCTCCACAATCTTTCTAGGTTACTCTTGAAAACTTATTTCATAGTTAACACAGACTCCATATTTCATTCTCTTCCCTGAAGTCTCCCTTTGTTCCCTGATATTCTAGACAGTGAAATCTAGACAGTGTTTTATTTTTGTTTCCAAGTTATGTGAAATGTGACAACAAGGTATCTCATTACCTCAAGCACTTTAGTGTATAATTTATCTTATAAAGGTATTGGCGGGTGGATCACGAGGTCAGGAGATTGAGACCATCCTGGCTAACACGGTGAAACCCCGTCTCTACTAAAAAAAACACAAAAAATTAGCTGGGCATGGTGGCGGGTGCCTGTATTCCCAGCTACTCGGGAGGCTGAGGTAGGAGAATGGCGTGAACCCGGGAGGCAGAGCTTGCAGTGAACCGAGATCGCATCACTGCATTCCAGCCTGGGCGACAGAGCAAGACTCCGTATTAAAAAAAAAAAAAAAGGTATTCTCTCATGTAATCAGAATAAAACAAAAATAAAAAATAAAAGTTAACAGTGGTACAATACTACCATCTGATTCATAGACCCTACTCGTGTTTCAACTTTAGGAAAACATGAATCAATGAAAGATTATACATTGCATTTTGTTTTCATACTTCTTTAGTCTACATCAATTGGAAAGAGTTCTTGAGATTTCTTTGTCTTTCATGACTATAAAATATTTAAAGCATATAAGCCAATTATTTTCTAAATGATTCTTAATTTATGTTTATTGAATGCTTTCTCATTATGGTGAAGCATATTTGGCAGGAATTGCACTTTATCAGATGGCCCACAATTTCCGTTTGTCCCACTATTTTGAATGTGTTTCATTACTTTAAACATTAATTTAATCACCTGATTAAATCATCCCTGTTTCTCTACCATACAGTTACTAATTTTTTCTTGTAGTTAATTAGTGTTATGTGGGAAGGTAAATTGAGACTACGTAAATTTCCCACTCATCATCAAGCTTTCACTGAGTAGCTGTGGCATCTATTGCTGTTACTTGGTTGAATTAGCATCAATACTATGGATGAATTTTTAATTCAATTATTCCTTTTACATTTATTAGTAGCCATTGTGATGTAAGAAATAACTTATTCATTTATGTCAATATGAATTTATGATTTCCTATTTTAATTAATGGGATAACATACTTCAATATGATTATTTAAACTGATGTTTAAATTGCCCCAGATTTGGACTCTGGGTTACCTTTTAAACTTTTTTCTGTACCCTTTCAACATGTCCTCATTTTTCTTTGCTTACTTCTGCAGTATCATGTTTTAATTTTTTTTCCTAGCCTTGACATTTTCCACTTTTCTAAAGACTCTTATTTGTAGAAAAAAATATCTGGTCCATAAGAGTGATCATCACTATTGGACTGTTGATGCTCCTTGGTCCACTTGGTTGACAACAGAGCTGGTGAACACAAACACACACACACTCACAAACACATATGTATATACAGATACGTGTAATAAAAATCATCAGATCAATAGTATATTTCCAAATCCAATCTAACACATAGCATTAATTCAAGTTTTCTCTCTTTCCACAATTGTAACTCCTCTAACAGTATTCAATAAGTTATCTCAATACTTACTGAATCAATTATTCCTTTATAAGCCAAACTTCTATTGCCATTGTTGCATCCTTTCCTGACTTAGTTCAGGTTTTAATATCCTGCCCTAGCCAGCCACTGTTATCACCACTGTTACCCTGCACTATGCCCTCTTCACTCCTATATGGACATCACTAACCTAACCAAGTTATGTGGAACCTCTGTGTCTTCTCTCTGCTCTTTCCTGTATCTCATCCTAGTGGCCACCTGTCCCCATCCTCCCAACAAACAAAATCAGAAACTCACTTTACTTGGCCCCACTTAATAATCTTTGATGGAATTATTCAAGACAGAAGAGAGGAAGAAAGAAATGGTTGCTTTTTACTATTTTTGTTGTTGTTGTTGTTGCTCCTTTGGTGTTTAGAAGTTATAATATCCTTGGCTGGGCATGGTGGCTCACGCCTGTAATCCTAGCACTTTGGGAGGCCAAGGTGGGTGGATCACAAGGTCAGGAGTTTGAGACCAGCCTGTCCAACATGGTGAAACCCCGTTTGTACTAAAAATACAAAAATTAGCCTGGCGCGGTGGTGGGCACCTGTAATCCCAGCTACTCGGGAGGCTGAGGTAGGAGAATCATGTGAACCGGTAGGCAGAGGTTTCAGTGAGCCGAGATAGTGCCACTGCAGTCTAGCCTGGGTGACAGAGCACGACTCTATCATAAATAAATAAATAAATAAAGTCCTTTTTGTGAACACATAGAATTTACAAACTGCCTCCTTGATTTATCAAAATGTAATGTTAATTGATACATGTTTCACGATTTCTGGGTAATCTTAGAACACTGGATTTCTTAAAACACTTAATTTCCTTTATTCATCTCTCAAATGGCATGCAATTATGTGTTTTAAGTTCCAGAAGACATTTTATATTACCTATACAGTCTATTCTGTTGAGATTTTCCCACATATTTAGTGCTCTTTATTCTTTCCTACACCCTCAACAATACATCTTTTGATCATTTTCCTTATCCTTGAAAACCATATGTTAGTAATTTTTGATGCAAGTCTATTGTTAATGCAGGCTCTCAATTTTTTGTCAAAAAATTACAAGATCTAGATTTCTAGCTGTGGCAACTACTTGCGTTCTGTATTTTGGAAAATCTATGTATTTTTACACTGATTAACATTTTTAAGAAAGCCGTCAATATTCGCAATTTTTTTTTAAATACTCTATCTTTATTTTATAACATTATTTTAAATGTACTTTAATGTAAATTTTAAAATATTTATCATGAGACTTTGAAACTTTATTGAATTAAACATGTTAAATTATGTCTTGCAGTGTTCAAAACATTGTGTTGGGTAATAATGGAAACATATAGCTAAATAACACACAGTCCCTGACCTCAAGGGCTTACAATGTTGTGGAGAAAATAAGGCATAAACACAAGTAGCACTGTAAAAATTTTTAGAGAGATACAGAATATTATAAGTGCCATAATCAGAATGGAACAAATCAAATGTAGATATAGGAGACCTTAGTGAGTCATAACAGATAAAATTATTTTCAAATGTTTTACATACATTTATTTTTTTGGATCTTTCAAAGTGGTTTTTTCATGACTAGAAATATCACACAATGAGTATTTTTTGTTGTTGTTTTTAATGCTGTTGTAGTTTCCAGCAAAATAATTTGTGTATAAATTTTCACTATGGCTTCTATTTTAATATTTTGCAAGCTTTACTCTTTGAAGTTCAAAATTGTATTAACATAGCTACAGTTTTTTTAATCTAAATCAACTCAAAATTTATATTCTAGGAACTTATAAGAATCTAATAATTCATTTAAAATAGGGCTAAAAAAAGAGAAGAGCATATTTTCAGAAGAGGTAATAAACTATAAGTAAACCTATTATAGGAATAAAAAATGCAATTCAACATTTCATTAAAGTGTGATATTTTTCTATAAAATAAAAAGAATAAATAAAAAGCAGGAGACTCAATATATCCTAAAGTAATAAGAATATCTTTTGTGAAGCTAATTTTACTTGACAATGTCAGTATATCAAATGTTATTGAGCATATATATGACATATGTATATTTGCATACACACACACGCACACACACATCTCCTAAGGTATGTGAATCCCATTTTTATTAAGCTTTTAAAAATATTTTTCTTAAAGACAGAGAAGAAGAAAACAAAATACAGACACCCAACATGTGGTAATTATGTCTAGAGTTCAAAATATTACTAGCGCTAACAAAAAAAAAAGAAGTAACCTATAACCAGAAGAAAATAAGTCAATAGAAACAGATTCACATCTATCAAGTGATAAAATTAGTAGACAATGACATTAAAAAAGCTATTGTGTATATGCTTAATATGCCAAAACACTTAAAGGAAGTATGCATATAAATAAATATAAATAAATAAATAGATACATACAGCAAAGAAAAATATAAATTTTAATGATAAAAAGTAAAAATATTAAATAGAAGTGAAGCAGACTATATACTGTAGAAGAAAAGAGAAGTGAACTTGAAGACAAAGCAATAAAAATATGCAAACTGAAATTCAGAGAGAAACAAACAAGCCAGCATAAAATCTGAGACAATATCAATTCTTCTGACATGAATTTGAAGCACCAGAGGAGGAAAGACTAAAGGTGTCAGAAAAACTTAAAAAGAAATTATGACCAATTTATTTCTAAATTATAGAAAAACTATAGCCATATATACTCAGGGCCTATTATATAGTAAATCATGCCTGGCTATCAACAATACAAAAATGTAAAAAAAAATGCAAAAACTTACAAAGGAGGATAAAAGGCAAAGAAAAACAAAACAAAACAAACAAACAAAAAACAGAAAAAAACATAGTATGAAAAGACAAGCAAGCATTAGTTTTACATTAGACACACAATAATACCAAACTATAATTAGTATATTCAGGCATCCAATGAAAATAATAGACAAAATTCAAGGACATACAATGTAAGCTGACATATGAAAACTCTAAGAAATAATCTAAATAAAATGTTAGACAAACTGAATTCAACAACACATTGAAACAATCATACAGCATATGCAAGCAGGGTTTATCCTTAGGATGCAAGGGTGATTCAACATATACAAATCAATAAATGTGAATGTGTTAATCCCTTTGCATTCCCATAAAGAAATATCTGAGGCTGAGTAATTTTTAAAGAAAATAGGTTTATTTTGGCTTATGGTTCTACAGGCTGAACAGAAAACATAGCACCAGAATTTACTCCTGGTGAGGGCCTCAGGAAGCTTCCAGTCATGGTGGAAGGGGAAGGGGGAGCAGGTGCCTCACACGGTAAGAGGGGGAACCAGAGAGAGAAAAAAGGGAGATGCCACCATTTTTTAAACAACCAAATCTCACTGTGAACTCAGAGCCAGAACTCATTATGGAGAGGAGACCACCAAGCCATTTATAAAGAATATGGCCCCACTACCCAACAGAAAGGAATCGAATGTCTTGAGGGAAAAGACCCAGAGTGGGAAGCATTCATCACCTGCTAACCTAAGAGCCCTTGGACCTGAGTAACTGGCAGTAATTCCCAGGTAATACTATACAGAGGGCATTGACTGAGTCTCTGAGATGAGCTGGCTTCAGGGGAGACTCAGCACATAACCAGCTATTGTGGCTATAGGTCAAAATTCATACTGTTTGAGAAAAGTAGAGGGAAAAGTAAATAGGACTTTATCTTAGGCCACGAGTACCAGCACAGCCACAGAGGGGTAGAACACCAAGTGGGCTCTTGGGGTCCGTGATACCAGGACTTGACTATTAGTTGGCATTTCTGGAACTGCCCTACTCCAGAGGGGAGCCCACTGTCCTGAAGAGTGAGTCCCAGATCAGGTAGTATTCACAACCAACTGACTTAAGAGCCCTTGGTTCTTAACAGAACATCTGTGAAGTATTCCTCGATGCCTGGAGTGGTTATGGCTACCGAGTGAGGCTCCTCTGCCGTTGGGAAAGGGAGGAAAGAGTGAGAAAGACTGCATCTTGTGGTTTGACTGCCAGCTCAGCCACAATAGAATACAACACCAGGTAAACTTCCAAGATTTTTTATTCTAGCCCCTGATTCCCAGACACCACCTCTGGACTCACCCAGGGACTGGGGAACCTCACTGCCCTGAAGGGAAGAACTCAGGTCTAGATGTTTTTGCCACTGGCAGACGGTAGAGCCCCAGGGCCTGCAGTGAACGTAGACAAAATCCAGAGAGTGATTATAGCAGACATTGGGCAAGACCCAGTGCTGTGCTGGCTTCAGGTCTGACCCAGTGCATTCACACTGGTGGGGGCCAAAAGGATGCGTGTATTACTCTACCCAAAGCTTTGCATGGCTAAGAACAGAGAGAGAGACTCTGTTTATTTTAGAGAAAGTAAGGGCAGAGAACAAGAATCTCTGACTGGTAATCCAGAAAATTCTCCAGGATCTTGTTCAAGACCATCAAAGTGGAACCTGCATGAGTCCTCAAGAACCAGAGCATTAATGGGCTTCTGGTGCTTCCTAAAGCAGATACGGCTTAGATCACAACACTCAAGTTCTTTCAAATGTCTGGAAAGCCTTCCCAATAATGACAAGTACAAATAAGCCCAAATAGTGAAGACAACAATAAATACCCTACTTCAATGCCAAGGCATTGAAGAACATCTATTACTATCAACACCATCCAAAAAAAGAAAAAACATGACTTTACCCAATTAACTAAGTAAGACACCAAGGAACAATCCTGGAGAAACAGCAACCTTCCTGAAAGATAAGTCAAAATAGCTTTGTTGATGAAACTCAAAGAAATTTAAGATAACATAGAGTAGGAATTCAGAATTTTGTCAGATAAATTTAAGAGATTGAAATAATTAAAAACAATTACACTTAAGTTCTGGAGCTGAAAATGCAATTGGCATGCTGAATTAAGCAATGGGGTTCTTTTATAGCACATTTGATCAAGCAGAAGAAAGAAATGGTGAACATGAAAAATTTGAAATTTGAAATTTAGCAATTTTCAATGCTATTTGAAAATATACAGTCAGAGGAGACAAAAGAAACAAGAATAAAAACAGTGAAGCACACATACAGGATCTAGAAAATAGGCTCAACAGGAGAAATCTAAGACTTACTGGCCTTAAAGAGGAGGTAGAGAAAGACAGGATTAAAAAATTTTATTCAGAGGGATAATAACTTCACAAACCTAGTGAAATATATCAATATTCAAATATAAGAAAGTTATAGAACACCAAGCAGATTTAAGCCAATGAAGAATACCTGAAGGCACTTAATAATCAAACTCCCAAAATTTAAGGATAAAGAAAGAATCCTAAAAGCAGTAACAGAAAAGAAACAAATAAGATACAATGGAGCTCCAATGTGTTTGGCTGCAAACTTTTCAGTGGAAACCTTACAGACCAGGAGAGAGTTGAATTACATATTTAAAGTGCTGAAGGAAAAAATACCCTAGAATAGTGTACCTTGAAAAAATATCTTTCATACATAAAGGAAAATAAGACTTTCCCAGGAAAATAAGACTTTCCCAGGCAAACAAAATATGAAGGATTTCATCAACACCAGACTTTTCCTACAAGAAATGTTAAAGGGAATACTTCAATCAGAAAGAAAAAGATATTAATGAGCAATAAGAAATCATCTGAAGATACAAATCTCACTGGTAATAGTAAGTACACAAAAAACACAGAATATTATAACACTGTAACTGTCATGTGTAAACTGCTTTTATTCTGAGTAGAAAGAATAAATGATGAAGCAATAAAGAGTAATAAGTGCAACAACTTTTCAAGACAGGGTTAGCACAATAAGATATAAATAGAACCAAAAGTTAAAAAGCATAGAGACAAAGATAAAGCATCGAGTTTTTATTGGCTTACTTTTTGATTGTTTGTTTATGCAAACAGTGTTAAGTTGTTATCAAGTTAAGATAATGGGTTATAAGGTAGTATTTCCAAGCCTCGTAGCAACATCAAACCAAAACACATGAATGGATACACAAAGAATAAAAAGCAAGAAACTAAATAATATCACCAGAGAAATGTACCTTCACTAAAGGAAGACAGGAGGGGAAGAAAGAAGGAAGAGAAGATAACAAAGTAAACATTATATAAATGACAAAATAGCAGGAGTAAGATTTTACTTATCAGTAATAACATTAAATGTAAATGGACTAAACTCTCCAATCAAAAGACATAGAGTGTCTGAATGAATAAAAAACAGCACCCATTAGTCTGTTGCTTACAAGAAACATTATTCACCTGTAAAGACACACTTAGAATGAAAATAAAGAGCTAGAAAAAATATATCCCATGCCAATGGAAATTTAAAAAGAGAAGGACTCACTATTCTTATATCAGACAAAATAGAGTTCAAGACAAAAACTATAAGAAGAGACACAGAAGGTTACTATATAAGGATAAAGGGGTCAATACAGTAAGAAGGTATAACAATTTTAAATATATATGCACCCAAAACTGGTGCACACAGATATATAAAGCAAATATTATTAAAGCTAAAGAGAGATACAGGCTCTGATATAATAATAGCTGAAGAGTTCAGCACCCCACTTTCAGCATTTGACAGATTGTCCAAATATTAGCCTTAATTGGCTCTATCGACCAAATAGATCTGTTAGATATTTACAAAACATTTTATTCAAGAGTTGCAGGACACACATTCTTTTACCCAGCACATGGATAATCCTCAAGGATAGACCGTATGTTTGATCCCAAAACAAATCTAAAAACATTCAGAAACATTGAAATATCAAACAACTTCTCAAACACAATGGAATAAAATTAGAAATTAATAAGAAGAGAAATTTTGAAAACTATACAAAAACATGGATATTAAACAATGTGCTCCTCAATGAACAGTTGTTCAATGAAGAAATTAAGAAGAAAATTGAAAAATTTATTGAACCAAATGATAATGGAAACACAACATACCCAAACCTGTGGGATACAGCAACAACAGTACTCAGAGGAAAGTTTATAGCTATAAGTCCCTCCATCGAAAGAAACAAACAAAAAAACTTTAAGTAAACAATCTAATGAGGCTTTCAGTAAAATAGAAAAGCAAGAGCAAACCAAACCCAAAATCACTATAAGAAACTAAAAGGAAAAAAAAGAGAAAAGACACAAATAAATAAAATGAGAAGTGAAAAAAGAGGCATTACATCTGACACTGCAGAAATTCAAAGGATCATTAGTGGTCACTATGAGCAACTATATGTTGATAAGTTGAAAATCTAGAAAAAATGTACAAATTTCCAGATGCATACAAACTACCAGGATTAAACCAGGACCAGGAAGAAATCTAAAACCTGAACAGATCAATATCAAGTAATGTGATTGACATCATAATAAAATGTCTCCCCTAAAGAAAAGCCTGGAACCCAATGACTTCAGTGCTGAATTCTATCAAACATCTAATGAAAAACTAATACTAATCCTACTCAAACTATTCCAAAAAATATAAGTGGAGGCAATGCTTCCAAACTTAATTTATGAGGATTTATGAGGCCGGTATTACCCCGATACCAAAACCAGACAAAGATACATCAAGAAAAGGAAACCACAGGTCAATATCTCTGATGAATAGTGAATCAAAAATTCTCAAGAAAATTTAACAATGTATTAGAAAGATTATTTATCATGACCAAGTGAGATTTATCCCTGAGATGCATGGATGATTCAACATGTGCAAATAAACAATGTGATATATCAACAGAGTGAAGGATAACAACCATATGATTACTGCAACTGATGCTGAATAAGCATTTGATAAAATTCAACATTTGTTCATGATAAAAACTCTCAAAAACCTGGGGATAGAATGAACACAACTAAGCACAATAAAAGACATATATAATATTCCCACATCAACTATCATATTGAATTGGAAGAAACTGAAAAGCTTTCCTCCAAGATACGCTTATCTCCAAAATGTAATCCCATTTATAGCTGGACATGGTGGCTCACGTGTATAATCCCAGCACTTTGGGAGGCTGAGGCAGGTGTATCACTTGAGGTCAGGAGTTTAAGACCAGTCTGGCCAACATGGAAAACCCCTGTCTATACTAAAAATACCAAAAAAAAAAAAAAAATTAGCCAGGTGTTGTGGCACACACCTTTAATCCCAGCTACTGGGGAGGCTGAGGCAGGAAAATAACTTGAACCAAGGAAGCAGAGGTTGCAGTGAGCTGAGATCATGGCACTGCACTTCAGCCTGGGTGACAAAGTGGGACTTCAACTCAAAAAAAAAAAAAAAGGTAATCCCATTTATAATAGCCACCCGTAAAATTAAATACCTAGGAATTAATTTCACCAAGGAAGTAAAAGATCTGTATAATAAACACTAGAAGACACTAATGAATGAAATTGAAGGGGGCACCAAAAAATAGAAAAATATTCCAAGTTCATGGACTGGAAGAATCAATGTTGTGAAAATGTACACATTACCCAAAGCAATTAACACATTCAATGCAATACCTATCAGTATACCAATGGCATCCTACACAGAAATAGAAAAAAAATTCTAAAATTTATATGGACCCACAAAAGGCCCAGTGTAGCCAACAATATCCTAAGCAAACAAAACAAAACAACAACAACAAAAAAAAAAAAATAAAAAACTGTAGTAATCACATGACCTGATTTCAAATTATATTACAGAGCTGTAATAACCAAAATAGCATGGTATTGGCATAAAAACAGACACATATACCAATGGAACAGAATAATGAACCCAGAAACAAGACCATACACCTACAGTGAACTCATTTTCAAAAAAGGTGCAAAGAACATACACTGAGAAAAAGTTTCTTCAGTATATGGTGCCAGGAAAACTGAATAGCCATATGCCCAAGAATGAAACTAGACCTGTATCTCTCACCATATATAAAAATCAAATCAAAATGTCTGAAAGATGTAAATCTAAGGCCTCAAATCATGAAACTCCTACAAGAAAATTTGGGAAAAATCTCCAGGACATTGGTCTAGGCAAACCTTTTTCAAGCAATACTCCACAAATTAGCCAACCAAAACAAAAATGGACAAATGGGGTCACATCAAGTTAAAAAAGCTTCTGTACAACAAAGGAAACAATCAACAAAGTGGCAAGGCAAGCCACAGAATGGAACAAGATATTTGCAAACTACCTATCTGACAATGAATTACTAACCAGAATATATAAGGAGCTCAAAAAACTCTATAGAAAAAAATCTAATAATCTGATCAAAACCAGGCAAAAGATCTTAAAGGACATGTCTCAAAAGAAGACACAAATGGCAAACAGGCATACAAAAAGGTGCTCAAAATCACTGATCAGAGAAATGTAAATTAAAACCACAATGAGATATTATTTCACTTCAGTTAAGATAACTTTTATTCAAAAGAGAGGCAATAACAAATGGTAGAGAGGATGTGGAGAAAAGAGAACCATCATACACTGTTGGTCATAATATAAATTAGTACAACCACCATGGAGAATAGTTTGGAGGTTCCTCAAAAAACTAAAAATTGTGCTACTATATGGTTTAGCAAACCCACTGCTCAAAACATTTTAAAAAATCAGTATAACAATTTATATATCCAAAAGAAAGGTAATCAGTGTATCAAAGTGATATCTGTATGTCTATATTTGTTTGCAGCACTCTTTACAGCAGCTAAGATTTGGAAACCTAAGTGCCCATCATCAACTGATGAATGGATAAAGAAAATTTGTCACATATACACATGGAGTTCTATTCAGCCATTTAAAAAAAATGCTAGTTATTTGCAACAGCATGAATGAAACTGGGGGTCACTATGTTGAGTTAAATACGCCTGGCACAGAAAGAAAAACATTGCATGTTTTCACTTATTTGTGGAATATGAAAATTAAAACAATTGAACTGATGGTCATAAAGTGTAGTAGGGTGGTTACCAGAGGCTTGGAAGTGTACTGGGGGTCTGGGTGGGGGAGGTAAGGATGGATAATGAGTACAAAATATAGTTAGAAAGAATGAATAAGACCTACTATTTAATAGCACAACAGGGTGTCTATAATCAATAATAATTTTACTGTACATTTTGAAATAAAGAGTGTAATTGGATTGTTTGTAACTTAAAGGATAAATGCTTGAGGGAATGAATATCCAATTCCCCATGATGTGCTTATTTCACATTGCAGGCTGTATCAAAACATCTCATGTACTTCATAAATATATATACCTACTATGTACCCACAAAATTAAGAATAAAAATGTCTATACTACCCAATGTGATCTGCAAATTTAATGCAATCCTTATCAAAATCCCAATTGCAATTTATACAGAAATAGAAAAAAAATTGAAAATCCATGTGAAACTACAAAAGACCCTCAATAGCCAACAACACATTTCTGAGCAAAAAGAACAAAGCTGGAGGCATAATACTACCTGAGTTTAAAATATATTACAAAGTGACAATAATCAAGACAGTATGGCACTTCCATAAGAATAGACACATAGACCAATGGAACAGTATAGAGAGACCAGAAACACACCAAGGCATACATGGTCAACTGGCCTTTGACAAGGTAGCTAAGAATACACAATGGAGAAAAGATAGTCTTTTCAACAAATAGTGTTGGAAAAATTGGATATCCACATGCAAAAGAATACAATTGGGCCCTTATCTTACACCATAAATAAAAATGGCCTCAACATGTTTTAAAGACATAAGCCTAAGGTGAGAAACATCACAATTTAAAGAAGAAAACACAGTAGAAAAAGCTTCTTGACATTGGCTTTAGCAGTGATTTCTTGAATATGACATTAAAGGCACACGCAACAAAAGCAAAAGTAAACAAGTGACACTGAATACAACAAAAAAGTTTCTACACAGCAATATACAACTCAATTTTGATAAAAAACTGTAGTTAGCATCAGACTCCACAGGTTTAAGGGCAAAGTCCTCTACAGTGTTAAGATGCCAGCCACACTTCACTGGTTCCCAGGCCACCTGCACTTTTGACCAGCTAGCTATAAATTCAGAGATTTCCCATTATGCTCATAGGTTCAATAATTTATTCAATTGACTCAAAGAACTCAGGGAAAGTGCTATAATTATGATGACAGCTTTATTATAAAGGACACACATAGAGAGACATCTGAAAGGGTCCTAGACACAGATATTTTTATCCTCTCCCTAAGGAATTAGAGTGTATCACCCTTCAGCTATCAATATATTTATCAACCATGAAGCTCGAATGAGCTTTGAGTCCAAGGTTTTTATCAGAGTTTCCTTTATAAAAAAATTTTGTATTTTTTGTGGGGACATAGCAGATACATATATATTTATGAGGTACATGAGATATTTTGATACAGTCATGCAATGCATAATAATTACATCATAGAAAATTGAGCATCCATATACTTAATCATTTAACCTTTCTGTTACAAACAATAATCCAATTATATTCTTTACTTTGAAATATACAATTAAATTATTAGTGAATATAGTCACCCTTTTGTGCTATCAAATAGTAAATTCATTATTTCTACTTTTTATTGTACCTATTAAACATCCCTATTTCCCCCCCCCCCCCAACTACACTTTCCAACCTCTGGTAGCCATGCTTCTACTCTCTATCTTCTTCAGTTCAATTGTTTTGATTTTTAGATCTCACAAATAAGTGATAACATAATGCTGTTTGTTTTTCTGTGCCTGTCTTATTTTATATAACATAATGACCTCCATTTTCATCTGTGGTGTTGCAAATAACTAGATCTCATTCTTTTTTATGGTAGAATATTACTCCATTGTATATAAGTACCACATTTTTTAATCTATTTGTCTGTTGATGGTTATTTAGGTTGCTTTCATATCTTAGCTATTGTGAACAGTGCTGAAATAAACATGGAAGTATGGATATCTCTTTGATGTACTAATTTCCCTTCTTTTGTGGATATACCCAGTAGTGAGATTGCTGTATCATATGGTAGTTCTATTTTTAGTTTTTGAGGAACTTCCAAACTATTCTTCATAGTGATTGTACTAACTTATATTCCGACCAACAGTGTATGGAGGGTTCTCTTCTCTCCACATCCTCTCCAGCATTTGGTATTGCTTGTCTTCTGAATAAAAGCCATCTTAAATGTAGTGAGATAGTAACTATTGTGGTTTTGATTTGCATTTCCCACCAGGGGTCATGCAGCATGGAGAGTCTGCACCTGCATTTCTCTAATGAGCAATGATTTTGAGCACCTTTTTTTTAATGTCATTTGTGTCTTCTTTTGAGAAATATCCTTTAAAATCTTTTGTCCATTTTTGATCAGATTATTAAATGTTTTCCTATAGAGTTGTTTGAGCTATATGTTCTGGTTATTAATCCAATGTCAGTTATGTAGTTTGCAAATATTTTCTTCTATTCTGTGGCTTGCTTCTCCACTTTGTTTCCTTTGTTGTACAGAAGCTTTTTAAGTTGATGTGATTTCATTTGTCTATTTTTGCTTTGGCTGCCTGTGTTTTTGAGGTATTGCTCAATAAATTTTTGTCTAGCCCAATGTCCTTGAGAGTTTCTTCAATATTTTCTTGTAGTGATTTCCTAGTTTGATATCTTAGATTTAAGACTCTAAGACATTTTGATTTGACTTTCGTATATGGAGAGAGACAGAGGTCAAGTTTCATTATTCCACATATGAATATCCAGTTTTCCTAACACTATTTATTGAAGAGACTCTCCTTTCTTTAATGTATGTTCTTGTCATCTTTTTTGAAAATGAACTCACTTTAGGTATATAGATTTGTTTCCATGTTTTCTATTCTATTCCATTTGTTTACGTGTCTGCTTTTATGCCAGGACCATGCTGTTTTGCTTATTATAGCTCTGTAGTATAATTTGAAGTCAAGCAATGTAATTCTTCCAGTTTTGCTTGTTTTGCTCAGGATAACTTTGACTATGCTGGTTGTCCCAAATATCATTCTCATTTGTTTAAAAATGTCCTTTTTAATTTCTTCACTGATCCGGTAGTCATTCAGGAGCATATGTTTAAGTTGCCATGTCTTTATATAGTTTCCAAAAGTCCTCTCAGTGTGGCTTGCCAAGAAACTCGAGTTCTGACCAGTAGGATGGGTGATTCTTTTATGGCTAGCTCTGGTCCAAACGTTCCCTCCACGCACAGGCACTGGCTAAGCCCAGCATGGCTTTCTTCTCTACTATTGACAGGGCAGCACTGACATCAATGTAATGTTTTCCAGTTACTGTACTTTTCTTCCTCCTGGTGCAGACTCTTCATGCTGCATGGCCCCTGGTGGGAGATGAGGGAATGGTGGCATTAAAAATTCAAAACTATCTTTCTGACCCTCCTCAATGCCTGTTTCAACAATATGAAATTAAAATCAGGTACTGAGATTACTCACCTGATTTTTTATTCTCATGGTGGTGCTTTTCCATGTGCAGATAATTGTGTAGGATATAATAAATTCCTCTTCAAAGGTTTTAGCCTGTAAATTGTAAAATACAATGAGTTCGGAGATCCTCTGCAAGGAACCAATGTATCAGTATATTCACCTCCCCTGTTCTTTGTTCTTCATTTTAAAGTTTAACTTCCTCATTCACTTCATCTCCTTGCCCCTAGTTTCAGAAAAAAAATCCTCCTATCCTCTATCACCTGCTCCATCCTGAGTCACCCCTGGTCACCTGCTCCATCCTGAGTCAACCCTGGTCACTTGCTCTGACCTGAGTCATCCTGAGTCACCTGTTCTCTAAGTGCCCTTCCTGCCAAACTACTCACCCCACCACTCTGACTCGTACCCCTGCTCTGTTTAAAATAGCCAGTCAGAATTAGCTTAGACTGTGTGGTCCAACCCTAGCCAATAGGGGAACAACACAGCAGTAGAGGCTACCTGTATCAGGAATAAAAAGACCTTCCACTCCTTGTTCAGGTGTGCTCTCACCATTGCTCCATCCGCGAGTTGCACCCTTCTATAGAAGTAAAAATTACCTTGATGAGAAAATTAAATTTATATTCGAGTGCTATTTCTTTTGTGGCACTGAAAATTTATTTATAACAGTTGTTAAAATTTGGTATTCCTAAGTGAAGTATGAATGTAGTAGCCTTTCATTCCTCCACCTTGCTACACCCTCATTTACTAGGATATTATTACATAAGCATGTTTAATTAAATCATTGGTCATATAATTAAACTTAATCTCTAATCCTCTTTCCCTTTCCTTGGAGGGTGGCAAGTAAAATAGCCATCTCTCTAAACATGTGCTTGGTCTTGCTGGGGTGTCCTGCCATTATCCTGAGACATTTTGTTAGCATAAACTACCTGAGGACCACCCTGGATCACCTCATTAGCATAAATTATCAGGACCCACCACTTATAACAAAGAACTTCTATCACTCAGGAAATTCTAATGATTTAGGGTTTCCTTACTAAGAACTTGAAATATTTGCCAGTTATCTTCCTCATTATGCAACGTGTTTATACAAGAAATGTATGGATGTTTCAGTATTAGAAAATCTACTGATAGGATTCACTGAAATAACAGCTCTAAATAGGAAAATTTATAAAATTATCTTCATAGATTTTTAGATGCTGACAAAGACTTTTATCAGATTCAACACATATTCACTCTAATAACTCCTGGGAAAATAGGAATGGATGGCATATATCCACATAAATATGCACTTATGTGTATGATCTCTAAAATTAACTTGTGATTTTAATCCAATTCCAGTGAGTTTTCACATTGAGCTAGACAAATTGATCTTAAAGTTTATATGGAAAAAAAAGTGTTGGGAGGCAGATTCAAGTATCTTTGTGCAAACATTTGTCTTTTCAAAGCATGTTTTTGTGCCATATATTTAAAAATAAAATTAAAGCAATAAGAATAAAAAGTGGAGAAAACTAGTAGTACAGAAAAGAAACTTAAAACAGTGAACCTAATAGTATTTCCAATTCTATTAGTCCATTTTTATGCTGTTGATAAAGACATACTGGAGACTGGGCAATTTACAAAAGAAAGAGGTTTAATTGGACTTACAGCTCGACGTGGCTGAAGAAGCCTCACGATCATGGCGGAAGGCAAGGAGGAACAAGTCACGTGTTATCTGAATGGCAGCAGGCAAAGAGAGGGCTTGTGCAGGGAAATTTCCTTTTTTAAAAACCATTAGATCTTGAGAGACTTATTTACTATAATGAGAAGAGCATGAGCAAAGACCCGCCCCCATGATTCAGTCTTCTTCCACTAGGTCCCTCCCACAACATGTAGGAATTATGGGATCTACAAGATGAGATTTGGGTGGGGACACAGAGCCAACCCGTATCACCAATGGATATTATATTTATACTGAAGAGAAAGAGATAGTTAATGGGAAATAACACATGCATTCAATCTATGACTCTATAACATTAGGCTTGGGTAGGGGCAGCAGAGGCAAATAATTGCAAGCAATGTATATTCTCTTAAGTGGTTTGCTTACCTTGGTGGTATAGGTGAAGCAATTTTTAAACTATTTTATATGCATTATAGAATTCAACAAATGAATGAATATGTTGATGATGTTATGAACCAGGATTCTCACTACAAAAGCATAGCAGAAAGAAGGTTAAAGATAAAAAAGGAAACATTGTGAGCTAGATTAGATTTGGGGGTATAGGTGAAGACTCATGCTGTCAAAAATTTACATATGTCGATTCATATATTTGTATTTACATGTAAGTATATGTGCATGTGTGTATACATGCATATATTTTCTATATGTATCTATATGTATGCACATACATATAGAAAATATGTATATATATACATATAGAAAATACGTATGTACATATATACGTACATATAGAAAATACGTATGTACATATATACGTACATATAGAAAATACGTATGTACATATATACATACATATAGAAAATACGTATGTACATATATACATACGTATAGAAAATACGTATCTACATATATAAATACATATAGAAAATACGTATCTACATATATACCTACATATAGAAAATACATATGTACATATACATACATATAGAAAATACAGACTGTGGAATCTTGATAAAAGCTAAATTCATCATTATGTCAGCATTTCCAAACTTTCATAAGAATATGTCTCTGTATTTATTTCCTCTACCTATAATCTACTTTACCCTCAAAAACTTAACACAGGGTCATTTGTTCAATAAAGTCATTTGCCTTCCTGAGCCCTAGGCAAATAGGGCTGCTTCAATGCTGAGTTTCTTCTGAGTGCTTTGTTTCTTTCTGTTAGTAATAATACAAAATGAATATAAAATATGATGTCTTTATAGCATACCCTTCCCCCATCCTCTACCAATGGTCTCAAAATGTTCTCAAATTATATTATGTACAAAAATCCCTGAGGCAAAATACGAGACAAAAGGAATCACAGCAACAACGCTTTCTGATTTAGTATTTTTTAGATGGGGATCAGAAATATGCACTTTTAGAACTGCCTGTGGGAGTCCCTGATTTTGGTCCACCGAATGCTCAGGAAAAATTTACCCTCATATATAAAGTACAAACTTTTTTATCCCTACACTTCTTGAGACAATAAAAGGACATAATAAATATTTAATACAATTGTTTCCTAAATACAACATTTTTAACAACAAAGTTTTCTGATTTACAAATATAAAAGCTACAGATGAATTATTTATTTATTTACAAGAAGGGTACATATTTTTGTCAGTGATAATCTGTTTTTGCCATATATGCACATATAATAATGATATGGTAAGCCTTGGACTAATACGGTCTATTAAATAAATGTGTCACAAAATAGCACACACTCAATATATTCACTCCCAATATGCCTTGTACCTCCAAGTACAAAGAAAGTTTTTGGGAACAATGTAAGCTCCATTTGTCTGCAGGTTTCTTGACTTTAGGTAGGGTACTTTTTAAGGCATTCATTTAAAAGATCTTTAATTGGTTTGAGAACTGGGGCTTCTGTATGGAAGTGTGACAAATTATTATAACCATGAGGGCTTAAGACAACATTAATTTATTATCTTATAACCCTGGAGGTCAGAATCTAACTTTGACTCTCTTGCCTCCCTTTTCTGTATTTAAGGATCCCTGTGATTACATAATCCAGGATAATCTACCTATCTTAAGTTAAGATCTTTAATCACATTTTTAAGTCACCTTTGTCTTATAAAGCAGCTATTCACAGGTTCTGGAAATTAAATTATGCACATATTTGGGAGGAGTGAGGGCATAATTCTTCCTACCAAACCAAACTGAATTATGTAAGTATTCATTAGACAATGTGGGACCCTGAAAATTACTGCAAAATAAAGTTATCACAATATGGTGTGTGTATTATTTGTTTTAACAAAAAGAAAGAAAAAGAAAAAAAATACAACTTGGCTTCAAATTTAACTTAGAATACTTTATGAATAAATTCTAGGTAACACATTATCCTTGGTGAAAACTAACATAATACATTATTTGGAGATTTCTATTTGTCTATGCTATTTGTATTTCGTGGGTCGGTTATATCAAATAACTGCACCCTTAAATGAAGAGTAAAACTTAGATATCAGCTTGTTGTGAATTTTAGTATGTCATTTAGTGACAAATATGAGAGTTCTTTGATGAAATGGCATTAAAGTATAAGTAAGGGATTGTATTGCCCATATAAATTATGATTGGGGCCAGTTTAATTTTTTCTGGTGTTACATATGAATGAGAAAATGGGTGATAGCATTTTTATGAGGTCACGAAGTGTCTGTTGTTGAATAATGACTATGAATAAATATTCTATCAACAGAATTTTAATCGTCCTCCTGTTCTACTTTGAAGGAATCACTTTGGTAATGGATAGGTACTTACTACTTATCATTTCATTGCAGGACTCACTTTAAAACACAGTTGACCATTTAATAGCCAGCTTATATTTTAATTCATTTTATATTAAAAAGTAGATTATCTCCTTGCTACCTTTTTGTCATGAATCACTTGGTATGATTGACACAACTGTGTAATGAATAAAATACAATGTGATGAACACACATCAGACAGAACAATAATTAATAAAGTAGGATTACTATATCATATGTTTTTGTATGTGAAATATTGTATTATATTATAAATATCATATTATATTATGAACTGTAAATCCTACTTTATCTGATGGGGTGCTGGAAGATGATGTCAAAGGGATCAGGTAAAGAAAAACAGGAAGTGAGTTCTATGGTTGTAGCACTTAGAGAGGATAGGTTTTCTCTGCAAGAGCTGCCTCAGATGCAGTTAGGTACTAAGGAACTTTCTTAGAAAGACCTTCACTACCTAATACAATTCAGGCTAAACTGGCTGATAATTACATTTACACTTGCAGAATGAGGATATAGAATATTTGTTACAGAAGGAGGCTGAAAAAATATGAAATAATTATGGTAAGAAAAAGATTTCAACTAGTTATGAAGGAAAGAACAACATTTCACTTACTTGGGGACCTTGTAACTGTCTTCAAATATTCTTTGCCTATTGCTTTACAGAATCAATCTTGATGAATCAAGGTGGACAATAAAAAGAACATGGGTTCTGGATTCAGATAGCACTAATGTGATTCCTGGTTCTGTCACTCATACTATGAAACCTTCTTAAACTTTCTAAGACTCTGTTCTCTGTGCTGTACCATAGGAATGACCTTACCCACATTACAGATTATTGTGAGGATTGAGTTACATGTGTAAAACATGTAAGATTACCTGGCAAAGAGGGAGTAGAGGGCTGAAACAATTAGAACTATTTGAATTATCTTTTCCTCCCAACTAGCTTCTTCAGTTTGATTTTTAATCATGTTTGTGCTTTTTTTTCATTCTGAAGACATTTTCCCTAGTCTGTGATCTCCCAATGAGTTATCTTATTTCTCTTATAACTTTCATTACTAAGATCCTCGTAAGATTAGTCTTCCTCCTTACCATCTTCTCCTTATCCTTTGAAATCTGTAGCTCGCTCTCATCTTGCAAAATCTGCTGGAGGTCTGTTGTCATGCCTATTTATCCACTTTTTGTTCTTATACTACTCCCTTCCTCCTCAAAGTCTCTCTGTCTTTGGCTTCCCTAAGTCTATTTTCTTTTGATTCTCTACAGGTCTAACTGCACATTTTCAGTCCCCATGCCAGCCCACGTTCTTCTAACCCTAAGGAACTCATTGCTTAACAATATGCACTAGATCTTTTCCAAGTTTCTCTCTAAGCACTTTTCTTGGATTAATCTATTCCCACAGTTTTGGACAACATGAGTATGCGTCAGTTGTAAATGCTACCTCTGACTCAATACGTTTCAAACCTATATATAAGGTTTGGCTGAATATGAGCCATGAGTCTTTAGACAACTTTATATATCCAGTGTATTCAAAATCAAATTTTATTGGCTCTCAAAAATTGATCCTTCTCTTGGGTCCTTCTTTGTATTTAATGGCTTCATCATCCTTTGAATTACTTTAAGTAGCGATCTTCAATAATTTTAATCAATTTTTTTCCTCAATAGGGACTTCATAAGTTTTCCAAAGTAGTTGGGACCACAGGCATGTGCCCCCATGACTAGCTAAATTTTGTGTTTTTAGTGGTGATTGGACTTCACCTTATTGGCCAGGCTGGTCTCAAACTCCTGGCCTCAAGAGACTCACCCTCCTCAGCCTCCCAAAGTGCTGCAATTACAGGCATGAGCCACCATGCCAGGCCAAATTTCATGAATTATTGACATTTCTCAGCTTTGAACTGGTCTCTCTGATTCCAGCTACTCTCCTCAAAACCCTTTAGAGTTTTCCAAGCAAAATTCTTCAGTGAAACATCAAGTGGCTTCTATGGTCTGATTTTGTCAGCCTCATGTCAAAATTTTATCCAGGCAACCTACGTCCCAGTAACATAGAAATTGTTTCTATTCCTCAACTAATCTATTTGCTCTTTTTGTTTTAACTTCTGTTACCTTTCTCATATTTTTACCACAAACTGATTGTCCTTCCCTTTCTCTTTCCAGCCATTACAATACAAATTGGCCTTAGAAGTCACTCAGGAAATTGTTATGCTTTTACAAAATACTCTGTTAAGATTAGTTGCTATTTTTAAAAATAGTCAACAGGCATATTGTTGTTTTAACTCATTTTTGTATATGTTTTCAACTTACATGATAGGTTATTTAATTATTTGTGACTGTCTTCTACCAGACCACAAAGTCAGATAGTTTTATTCCACCCCTTCCATCAATAAACTATGCAATGCTTGAATATAAACATTCAAAAAATGTTTAATGAAGTGATATAAAATTAGAAAAGCCTTAGACCTAATTATATGATTTGGTTAGAGTAAATATAATCTTTGACAATTCAGGAAACAGTCACATGGAGTTGTGAGGGAGGACAAGAACATCTGCCTAGAAAGTCAGATGACTTAAATAATACTTAATAATCAATGAAGTGACAGATGTTGTAACCTAATTGCTCTCTTATTTTGGAACAAGATATAGTCATAATACTTTTTTAATATTAAAAATGTAAGTTAATGATACTGTCTATTAAAGCTATGTAAATATTGTTAAAATATAAACACAGAAGCTAATTAATTTCATATGTTATAATTGCGAAGGAATCCAATATCAGTGTTTAAATATCAATGGTTAATATATGCAAATAGTAGATACTTTTTGAAATATGTGGCTATAGATTCTTAGGATAGCTTAAAATTTTACCATGATTTAAAACAAGAAAGATCAATGTATTAGACTAAAGTGACTTAGTTCCAAAGTATGCATTTTATGGAACACAAGATTCACAAAATCCCCTTTAGAATGTTATAGATTTAAAAATCATTCACCTTTATTTTACTACAAATTACTATAGAATATTATTGATAAGATATTCTATTTCATTTTAGCAGACAAGCCTTCAATATATAAACATCTTTTAAGTAAAATGGCTCCATCTCAAAAAAAAAAAAAAAAAAAGAAAAATGGGTGAAAATGAGTACTTTTAAAAAATTGTATGCCTTTTTATTCTCATTAACAATCATATCCTCTTTATTTTTCTTTCATTTTCAAAATAATAGAAAGGTCTGCCTCCATTGTGTTACAAATGTCTTATTCTTTATCCTCGTAAGATATAGACCTTCCCTACTTGAGATTGACAAGAATATTGAGACTTAACTAGTCCAGGAAAAAATAATAGTGTCTTAGCCTTTGATCCCTGGGTATTACCATCATTGCTTTTCTTCTTCTAATGCTCACTGACACTTTGGAGTCTTCCCTAGGTCTTCTGGTCACTTGAAGCTTCTGGCCTATCAAGCTCACAAGTGGGCTCGCAGACTGGCATCTGGCTCTTTGCTTATGTTTTCACCTATCAAGAATCTATTTACTTACTTTCTCTGCATCTCGTCAAAGGAATCCGTGGTCTTAGAGTTTGGCAATGCTCCCATGTTAGGTGGCAGGTTATAGTGGTGTTTTATTATAGACCTAAATGTTCCTACTTACTTCCGGTAATCATTATTTTGTTACTTTTTTTAGACTCCTTTTCTCCCTCTTCCTCTGTCCCACTTACATATTGCCAGGGCAAGTAGGTATGGGTAAGTATAATCATTTGCAGCTCTGATGTATGAACCCTTTCCAAAATTCAATTTGCAAGCCTAAGATTTTGAAAAATACTTTAGAGATTTTTCTTAAAAATGTCTGCTAGAAATACTTATTTTAAAAATTATTCCATCTAATGGGAGGGGATGGTAACTTGGTTTTTGTCTCAGTTATGTCTTATGAATTGTTCCATCCTCCCCAGCAGAGCAATGCCCATCCAATTTTTATTGTGAGTCTCAACTCCCTCCCCATCTTCACACATTTTCAGTAGATGCCTTATCTTTCCAATGGCAGATTAAGATGGGATATTGGATTACTCTTGCCTCAGCAGTTCCCTTGTAGGTGTCCTGAGGATAAGTATGCTATCAAACATCCTGGAAGTCTGTAAATAGAAACCAGTGAGTTAAATACCTTTATATGTCTCCTTTTGCTCTATATTGCGAGGATATTAGCCCTTCAACATTATGCTTTCCTTATTTTTGGAAGTGAGTAGCTATTTCATCTTGTTCTATTTTTTCCCAATTTAATAACTGGAAGACTATGGCAATGGGGTAAGGAGAGTATTTAGTTCTTCTAGAGCAAGATTGGAGTCAATACTGCCTTTAAATCAGTCACTGCCCATCTGTAATCTGAATGATACACCAACTGAAATTAGGGATGCCCCTTTTGTGTCCTCATAATCATTCTTTATATCTTAAATATACTTTAATACACTTTCAGTTGTTCTCGGGCGACTGTTGAGAATGCTGACTCTCCTGAGTAGCTGGAATTACAGGCAGGAGCCACCATACCCGGCCAATTTGTGTATTTTTGATGGAGTCGGGGTTTAACCATGTTGGCCAAACTGGTCCCAAACTCCTGATCTCAGGTGGTCTGCCTGCCTCGGCCTCCCAAAGTGCTGGGATTACAGTTGTGAGCCACCATAGAGGTGGAGGCAGGAGAATCACTTGAACCTGGGAGGCAGAGGTTGCACTGAGCTGAGATCATGCCACTGCACTCCAGCCTGGGCAACAGAGCGAGACTCCATCTCAAAAAAAAAAAAAAAAAATGCTGACTCTCACATCACTGGTGATCTTCCTTTGCTAAACCCCAGGTCTAATGTGCTTAGGTATTCATACAAACCTACTAGTCATCAAATAAATATGGAAAACATCCCACATAAAATATCCCTTTTATGGAGTTTTATAACATACATTAGAATCAGAAATCCTCTAAACAAACCTGTGGTAAAGAAATCTGCTTAACTTTGTTTCACACTCTCTCTCAAAGTTATTTTACCCTAGCATTTTTTTGTTTTCTAAATAATAGCTCATAAAACTATGATTCTATAGAACAAATTCTAAGAAATACCGCATTCACTAGTAAATCGAGAGGTTTAATTTAGGGGAAAGAAAAATTTGGAACAGACAATGGAATAATGAAGACTATAGAAGAGTAGTGTGATCAGCTAAAAAAAACTCACACATTCAACTCTTCCATCCTTTTCATTTCTTTGCAAGTCTCACCCTGCTGCTGCCCAGCAGATGTCAAAATGAGCAGGAAAACCACATTGCTATACAGAGATTCCTTAATGGCAAGCTCTTGCTTCCCTAAGACTAGGTCAGGGACAATATAATCAAAATAGAAGTTTAAAATACTTTTTGTGTTTTTTTGCTTTTCAATACAAAGCATCAGTTTATTTAAGATTCCTAGCTATTCATATGCCGACCATACAGTATAAAAACCCTGAAAACCTGTATTAACTCATGGATTATTTTCATTTTTAACAGCAACTTAAAGCAGGAAAAAATTTACTTGATTGTTCATCCCATACTACACTGTCATAGTTGCTCATAAATAAAAGCGTGATATTTTATTAATCAAACTACTTTGGGAAATAAAAAATGCATGAAATAGAAATCAAAATTTCCAAGACAAAAGGACATGTAATTTATTATTGTAATAGAATAAATTAAATGCTTTCTAAACTTTCTTATTTCAAATTGTAAAGTTACTCTTATTGAGCTTCTGAACAATTGATCTGTAGCCTTCAAATTTTATCCTATTATGTCATCTTAAACATGCACATTACAGGGTCATCCTTTTTGGTGATGCCTATTAGTTCCATCTCTTTGTGGAACAATCCATTATAATGAACTCATGCTATCATTTCACCTTCAACCCCCAAGGACTGTCTGCTTTATGAACTCTGCTTTGAAGCTACACCTTCATTTCCTTCTGTTTTTTTTTTTCCCCCGGTCAAATTCTAAATTTAATTTAAAGTAGCAAAGAAAGATTAAGCTATTTGCATTTTAATTTTAATTCTCATTAATATTTTCATTTTATAAAATAGTTACTTGTTCAAAGTAACTGAAATTTTGGACAATGGCAATCTTTCAGAGGGAGAGTGGAGTGATTCTTTTCCAATTAATTTTTATTTTTCATTCCTGCCTCTTCAGAATTATGTCACATCTTTTTGTAGTCTAGGGAGGAATGCTGTAGCTAACATGTGATTTAAGGTGTTTATGCTGATTGCTTAGTGAAAGAGTAAACTTTGAGTTAAGTATTAAAATATGTACTGTTATATAACATTTAAAAGGCTCCCAAAATATATTTTGCAAGTTATTCCTCAATACACCACCACAAACTTTGCAATCTGAGATAACTTCCTTTCTTTCCATACATTTTAATTCAATTTAATCCATCAGACACAAAATAAATTTACACTGACTACTATCATGCATTTCTTTAGGTGCAGGGATATCAAAAGTACTTAAATCTACTGCTGCCTCTAAGGCTTTCCAGGTTATAAAAAATAGATTGATGTGTAAATAAATAATTGCAATTTTATGTAATGAGTTCTAAAACAGATACATACATTTAATACAGGATCACAGAATTGGAAAACCCAATACCACTTTCCCTCAGGAATAGTTATCAAGAAGAGGTCACTGTAGACCTAAGACTTGAAGAAAATTCCATATTATTTACAATCTTCTGACTCACTTCAAATATTCTGCAGAATCTAGACCCAGTATAATGTGTGTTAGTGGACATGGATGGCATTCAGTAGAGAGCTTATGTTTCAGAACAGCTACAGATAATGAAAGAGGACTCATTAGGAGTCTAAGAGCAAACAACTTATAAAACTAGTAATGAAAAAATACTTTTTCCCTATAAATGTCTAAAATAAAATCTGTTTTATATTTCACATTTCAAAATGACAACTGTATATCTTCATCACTTTCAAACATTATGCCAAAGTCTTAGAGCACTTCCAACATAGAGAAGAAAGTTTAATTTTCTGAATCATCACTGTGATTACCATTATAATATCAAATTAAGGAATTCTATCATTTAGTTGTATTTGATTGGATAATATAATTTTTATATTATGACAGCTTTATAAATTCATATAAATCTATTAAATCTTTTTTATTCTGAAAGACTATGTTTTCATGTAAAATACAAAATATATATTATAAAACTTAAATGAACTAAAACAAAATATTTCTCTCATAATACTGGTCTTAACAAACAGTATTATGTTTCTTAACAGTAAGAATTTGAGGCAAATTCACAGAACAATGCTCAGTACTCAATTATGTATTGTTCCTGAACACATTGCGCAGATTTATTTATCCTTAGTATCTTTAGATATATTCTTTCTTATTCTGGAAATTTCTCACCATCAAGTATCTTTAGACATACTCTTTCTTCTTGTGTAAAGTTCTCACCATCAATCTATCAGCTAAAGCCCTGTCTATTTTTCAAGTTTTCATTAAATATAGCTCTGTTTGGAAAGCCAAGAGCTTGAGCATCTCCTTCCATTGTTAATCACTACCTACGTAATACTTCCTCTGAAACTTGCTCTTATTTAGTATTTCTGTTTGTACTTTCTCACTTTTTATTTTTGCTTACAGATTTACCTCATCTTGTTTTGTTTGTGTTTCTATTACTATCAACTAGCAAAATGCTGATAGATTATAGGTACTAATATTTCAATGGAAGAGTGGAGGGCAAAGTACAGAGAGTAGAAATTAAATGTAAATTATTAGAAGTAACACTGTAAGGGCTGTTCAGATTAGATGCTTTGATAATTTAAGGTAGACTTTACAAATACCAGTCACTTGTATATGTCTATATGTTTATATATCATTTATCCTAGCTTTATGTTCTTCATTCATTAAATCATAAAGTTTATATTTCTTGTTCCAATGTTATGCTTACAAAGCATTTTATTGCTCCAATTTGGCTTCTTGTGTCTTTTTCATAAAATGAACAATATATGCTAGTAGGAGAAGCTAAGTTCTGTTCCATTAACAGGGATTTTATAGTAAATTAAATCTATCTATATTTTGTTTTATTACAGGCGAAACTCATACACAATCCTTGCTTGTGTGACATGTGTGTATTAGAAACATGCAGTTTCTCTCTTACACTTTAAGGTAGTGATGCTTATTTATAGGTGCTGTAGTAAAAAGCAATATAATTGAATGTATCAAGAGTTTCAGTTCTTCATTGTTTAGGGACATTTCATCTTATGTTTCCTTCATTTCTACTTCTACCCGTTATCAATACCAAATTGTAGCAAAGCAGGATCCAAAAGCAAAACTTTTCAACGGTAATCCCATTGAGCTATTCCCTAGTGTTGCCACATTAGTATTGTTCACTCACTCATGTATTTCTTCATTCAGAAAATTAAGATACCATCACAATATCAATGTGGTAATAATCTAGTAGAATAAGGAACTAAAATATGTTGGATGCCATGTTAGAAAGGTTCATGTGATACACTCTATTACTTTGTTCTTCCACTGCTAATAAAGACATACCTGAGATTGGATAATTTATAAAGGAAAAGAGGTTTAATAAACTCGCATTTCCACATGGCTGGGGATGCCTCAAAAATCATGATAGAAGATAAAGGAGGAGTAAAGGCAAATCTTACATGGCTGCACGTAAGACAGCATGTGCAGGGAAACTGCTCTTTATAAAACCATCAGATCTCATGAGACTTATTCACTATCATGAGAAGAGCATGGGAAAAATCCACCCCCATGATTCAATTACCTCCCCCTGGGTCCCTCCCATGACATGTGGGCATTATGGGCAATACAATTCAAGATGAGATGTGGATGAGGACAGAGGCAAAACATATCATTCCACCCCTTTACCCTCCCAAATCTCATGTTCTCACATTTCAAAACCAGTCTTTCCTTCCCAAAAGTCCCCCAAAGTCTTAACTCATTTAAGCATTAACCCAAAAGTCCATAGTCCAAAGTCTCATCTGAGACAAAGCAAGTCCCTTCCACCTATGAGCTTGTAAAATCGAAAGCAAGTTAGTTACTTCCTAGAAACAATGAGGGACATAGGCATTGAGTAAATATACCCATTCCAAATGATAGAAATTGGCCAAAATGGACAGGCTTCATGCAAGTCCAAAATTCAGTATGGCAGTCTTTAAACCTTAAAGTTCAAAAATGATCTACTTTGACTTCATGTCTCACATCCAGGTCATGCTGATGCAAGAGGTGGGCTTCCACAGCCTTGGGTGGCTCCACCCCTGTGGCTTTTCAGGGTACAGCCCTCCTTCTGACTGCTTTCACAGGCTGACATTGAGGGTCCGGCTTTTCCAGGCTCACAATGCAAGCTGTCAGTGAATCTACTTATTGTAGGGTCCGGAGAATGGTGGCCCTCTTCTTATAGCTCTACTAGGCAGTACTCCAGCGGGGACTCTGTGTGGGAGCTTCAACCTCACATTTCCCTGCTGTACTGCCCTAACAGAGGTTCTCCATGAGGGCTCCACCCCTGCAGCAAATTTCTGCCTGGAATTCCAGGCATTTCCATACATTCTCTAAAATCTAGGTGGAGATTTCCAAACCTCAGTACTTTACTTTTGTGCATCTGCAAGCCTAATACCACAAGTAAGCCACAAAAGCTTGGGGTTTGCACTTTCTGAAGCAAGAGCCTGAGCTGTTCATTGACCCCTTTTAGCCACGTTGGAGCTGAAGCAGCTGGGGTGCAGGGCACCATGTCCTAAGGCTGCACAGATAGGAGTGTCCTGGGCCCAGCCCAAGAGACCACTTGTCCCTCCTAGGCCTCTGAGTCTGTAATGGGAAGGGCTGCTGTGAAAGTCTGACATGTGCCGGAGACATTTTCCCCATTGTCTTGTTGATTAACATTCAGCTCCTTGTTACTTATGTAAACTTTTGCAGCAGGCTTGAATTTCTCCCCAAAAAGTTTTTTTTTTTTTCCTATTGCATTAGCAGGCTGCAAATTTTCCAAACTTTTGTGCTCTGCTTCCTCTTTTTTTTTTTTTTTTTTTTTTTTTGAGACGGAGTTTCGCTCTGTCGCCCAGGCTGGAGTGCAGTGGCGCGATCTCGACTCACTGCAAGCTCCGCCTCCCGGGTTCACGCCATTCTCCTGACTCAGCCTTCCGTGTAGCTGGGACTACAGGCACGCGCCACCATGCCCGGCTAATTTTTGTATTTTTAGTAGAGACGGGGTTTCACCGTGTTAGCCAGGATGGTCTCGATCTCCTGACCTCGTGATCCGCCCGTCTCGGCCTCCCCAAGTGCTGGGATTACAGGAGCCACCGCGCCCGGCCGCTCTGCTTCCTCTTGAACACTGTCATTTACAAATTTTTTCTGCCAGATACCCTAAATCTTTTCTCTCAAGTTCAAAGCTCCACAGATCTCTAGGGCAGGGGCAAAATACCAGCAGTCTCTTTGCTAAAACATAACAAAAGTCACCTTTGCTCCAGTTCCCAACAAGTTCTTCATATCCATCTGAGATCACCTCATCCTGGACTTTATCATCCATATCACTATCAGCATTTTGGTCAAAGCCATTCAACAAATCTCTAAGAAGTTCCAACTTTCCCACATCTTCCTGTCTTCTGAGCCCTCCAAGTCTCCAGGAAGTTCCAAACTTCTCCACAGTTTTCTATCTTTTTATGAACCCTCCAAACTGTTCCAACCTCTGCCTGTTTCCTAGTTTCAAAGTCGCTTCTGCATTTCCAGGTATCTTTACAGCAGCACTCCACTCTTTCAGAACCAATTTACTGTATTAGTCTGTTCTCACACTGCTAATAAAGACATACCTGAGACTGGGTATTTATTAAGGAAAGTAGGTTTAATGAACTCACAGTTACATATGGCTGAGGAGGCCTCACAATCATGGAGGAAGGTGAAGGAAGAGCAAAGGCACATCTTACATGGTGGCTGACAAGAGTGTGTGCAGGGGAACTGCCCTTTGTAAAGCCACCAGATGTCATGAGACTTATTCACTATCACAAGAACAGCATGTGAAAATCATCCACCCCCCCCCATAATTACATTATCTCCCACTGGATCCCTCCCATGACACATGGGGATTATGGGAGCTATAATTCAAGATGAAATTTGGGTGGGAACACAGCCAAACTATCATACAGTGAGGGTACAAGGGAGATTTACTATTTCTATTCGTGGAAGATGGGGTAAATGTGAGTAAATATTAACAGCAATGACAGTTTAATAATGGTTTAGAAAAGAAGTAAATGAGGAAATTCCAGCTCCATAATAAGATACATTCTGTAATCATGATGCAAACGCTATTATGACTTCAGGGAACTCATTGTAAATGATATCAGGTTTTCACCACCATATTTCAAGATGGTTGCTTAAATTGTAATTACTGCTCTCCAGAGGTGTTCTAACATTCTTAGCTCTGCAGGTATAGGTGTGTAGAAAAAATAACCTTTCTTTTAATTGTCTTTTTTTCATTCCATTCTTTTATGAGATGATGAACTATAATTTTCAAAATAAACTTTACTTAGAAACTAAGGAAGAATAAAACAAAAAGAATACACATACAGATGTAAGTAAATGACTCCAGTGTTGCTTCATATCAGTATATGTAACTACTTAACAATTCCCCCAGGTTGTCTAATCATAATTTTAACCAAAAATTTCCAAACCAGAAGTCTTAATTTCCAAAGCCAATCTATCATTTCTTAAGTCACAAATATAGGAATCATCCTTGATTCTCCCATTTCTGGAGCCCATGTATAATTCATTAACAAGTTCACAAGCTCTTTCTCCTAAATCTCAAATTCCTTCCACTTCTCTCTACCTCCATGGCCCTACCCTTAACCAGATATCATCTGGACAACTGTATTATCCCCAAAATTGGTTTCAATGGAATAATCTTCTCATCACCATTCCCTAAAATGCATTCACACAGAAGTTAGAGAACTTATTTTTAAAATATAATATTAGATGAGTTTCCTTTAAAAAGTATTTAGAGGTTTCTCCATTGCTTGTCAAATTAAATCTAAACTGATTACCAGGACCTATAAGATTCTCTTACATTTGTTTCCTGCTGATGCCTTCAGCTAAAGTTACAGAAATATCCACTCACTGACTATATTCCAACCACACCGTCCTTCTCCATGATCCTGCAATAGCTTTTACATCTTGTGATTTTGCACTAGCTTTTGTCTTCTTTGGTTGCTCTTTCTCAGTTTTGCCCTTGGTTGCTTTATTCCCAGGGTCACTATTAACTCATCCTATTTACTCTGTTTACAAAACATAGCACATTTTGGAACCATCTTATTTATACACTTGTTCAATTTTGTCCCTCACTATAATATAAGCTACCCAAGGAAAGGTCAGAATATTTTTGTTTACCACCAGGTCCCCAGCATTCTTCATGATATCTGATAAGGTTATCAGTAAGGATATCCTTATCTAGTAAAGATAATATAAATATTCATTTAGTGAAATTATGTATTAATGAGCTAAGATATTTTACTTTGAGATGTTTACTATTTGCCTTGTCTTACTAAATATAGTTTTATATTTCTTTCCTCCACAAATGCCTCTGTTTTATAAGGGAGATTAACTTACTTATGTAGCTAATATAGGATGGATGGTTTCAGGTAGAAAATGTGGATTCTACTAGTAAGAGTCTCAATTTCTTGGAGACCTGTTTTTCATTTTGTTTCCTAGAAGTAGACACCAGACTGTATCCTCTGGTGTCAAACTTTGCTTCACTACTATTCTAACTTGATTTCTGAAGGCCTTGCCACTTCTGGGCCAATTCAGTAGAAGAAGCATCTACCACTTAGAGCCAGGATTCCTCTCCAAGCAGTTCAGCTAAATCCTTGTGCACAGCTTAACCTCTTTCCATTTCAGGCCTTACTTACTGAGAATTTCTAGGTATTCATTAGGTCGGTGCAAAAGCAATTGCGGTTTTGCCATTACTTTTAATGCAATTACTGCAATTACCAACCTAATAACTTTTACCCCCAATTTCTTTAAGGTCAAAAAAAGAGTAAAACTTCTTTTTGTGTTCTGCCTTCCAGAACAAAGTCATTTACCTATGTGATGATCAATAACCTTTAACATTTAATTTTCAACCCCACCTGATTCTCACGCATTCTAAGTAACTTTTGCTCAAATGAATAATTTGTTGATGTCAAAATAAAATGAGAGAATACATCTCTAAACTTAACATTTTATTCAGGACTTAAAGAATTACATTTCAGGCACACACACAGACTTGGTGGTCTTTTGTGTGTCTGAAGAACAAAGAAAAGTTTGGAGTCAGAGAAATGTTACGTATGGTTTTAAAACAAAGCTTATTGTCACTAGATAAACTTTTGGGTGCTGGCAAGCTCTGATTGTCTAGTGACGGTGGTAGGTAAAACTAAGAGTCACGGCAGGTCATGTTAGCAGTCACTAGGTCAAAACGGCCTCAGGGTTACAGCAGGTAGTTTCCGATGCCGGGCTTGCAAAGAATTCAATTCCTGAAGCTGTGCTTTATATCCCGAGTGCATTTTCCCTGGCCTCTCACCTCTGATTTAATTGAGTATGGCAAGAATGACCCAATTCGCATACTCAACTTTCACAAATTTAAAACTGAATTAAAAATAAAACAAACTCATTCTCACCGTAGATAAAGACATGCTAAAAAGTCATCTTTCATAACATCCTGGCTGCAGAGTATGACTAGCGTTTAAGCAGAACACGCATTTGGAAAGAATTGGCTTGTTAGAAATGCTGTCAAGTAAAAGATTGTCAGTAGATGTTGGCTGCAGTAGAAATGAATTCTCAGACATGCTGACTCTTTTAAGAGCGGCCGAATCACCTGGAATGAAAATTATTTCTCCTTCTCCATCCCTCATAGGCTGATTTGAAATGCACAGCAAAAATATTTTCTATAAAAAGAAATGATTTACTAATTAGAAATTGCTGTATTAATGTGTATTTTAGGAATTTGATTACTACTAGCATTCATAATATTTTTGAGCTTGTATGTGCCTTAATAATTTAATAAGAAATCTTAAATGACCTACACATTATTCTAAAATGTAGGAATGATTTGAAATCAGGAAATTCAAGTGTACACAGAGTCCTTTTAAAAATAATAATGGTTGTAACATCGTCACACACTGGCTTAAGACAATTCATCATAAAATGGACATATAGACATTCCTTTTTTTAATTTTTTGAAACTTTTTAATGAAGAAAAGGTTGGAGAACTGAATGAAGAGAACAAATCTTTGCTTTGTCAAGGAAAGTAGACAAATTATTCTTTAAAAGCTTGAGATTACTCAGATCAATATGAATTGATTCTTTTATATTTTAAACAAAAGCTTCGTTGTTTTCTTGCTTATATTAACTGTTGAAATGCTTTTAAAAACTGTGGCATATAGTAATTTGTATATTTCAATATGTATATATTTAACACTGAATATAAAAATGTAGAGAAATGCAGAAAAGTATTTCAAAATGAAGATTTTTTTAAGTACATCATTTACCAGTCTTTTTCTAAAATTAAAAAAAAGAAAGGCATTTTATCTACATCTGCAACAACAGATGTAAGTATTAATAAGGATCCTCCCAGCCTCACTTCAGCTAATGCATTTAGGCATTTCTGTGAGAAAAAGCGTACATCAGCAAAAGGAGAATTTGGTTTTTCACTCACTTTGTTTAAATCTCTGTCATCTGTCTTTTAGCTCTTGAATCAGTGTGTAAATATAATGAACAGATTTACATGCTCAAGTGTACTAGAGGCAATAAGCAATAAGCATATTTTAAAGTGAAAAAATACAATCAACTGACTATGAAATTAGCTCTTCACCCTCCCAATTTTCACTTAATCTTTAAATAGAGACAGCCATTTGAGGTATCTTTTTCCTGCTGAGTGAAAGCATGCTGCTATATATTGGCAAATACAGAGAATAAACACTGAGACACTGATATTTTTCTTATGTATAAATTACAGTTTGTTTGCAATAATTTCATGAATAACTTTATTAAATGGTTAAATATTCTTAAGCATTTACTAAATCAACACTAGTAGGCTTAGATGCATTTAGATGCAATCACACATTTATATCAAAAAATATATGAGGTGAATATAATCAATAATTACATTTTATAAAATAAACTAAAGAAATAGAATCTTGGTGACATTAAGTAACTTAACTTCTTTAAGTTGACTCAATTACAAACTGCCAGTAACCCATCATTTTAATCATCAATTGAACATTGTTACCTATTTTTTTGAAATTTTACACAATTTTATTCCATATACTTCCCTCTTGGTGATATATTTTGTGTGTTTATATTATTCAACAAGTATTTTAACAAGTATTTACTAAGTACCTGTTGTATGCCAGGAATATTCTAGATGCAGCTGATACAGCTACAAAAATGGATGCTCATTTCACCACCTTTAGTCTTTTCCTCCAAAAAACTATTCTTCTTCTAAATAAGAAGTAAATACTCCCTCCTATTGATAAATTACCTCCATTAAACCATATATATTTTTTTCCCATTATGGTATTATCTTCTACTACCCATCCCTCTTAAATTCTGAGTTATTGTAAACAAGAAATACAAGTCCATCCATATGTCTCTACTAGAGATCACCTTCCTTCAGTCTTATAAGGTCTCCTTCTAGGCCTTGACCAACCAGCCAAAACATTCGCCACTGCTCATGATTCAATGCATATTTTTGTTTTTTTACTTTTATTTAAAGTTCAGGGGTACAAGTGCAGGTTTGTTACATAGGTAAACTTGTGTCATGGGGGTTTGCTGTACTGATTATTTCATCACTCAGGTATTAAGCCTAGTACCTTTTAGTTATTTTTCCTGACTCTCTCCCTCCTCCCACCCTCCATCTTCTTAAAGGTTCCAGTGTGTGTTGTTCCCTTCTATGTGTCCATGTGTTCTCATCATTTAGCTCCTACTTATAAGTGATAACATGTGGTATTTGGTTTTTATTTCTCCATTAGTTTGCTAAGGATAATGGCTTCCAGGTCCATCCATGTCTCTGCAAAGGACATGATCTCATTCGTTTTTGTGGCTGCATAGTATTTCATGGTGTATATGTACCACATTTTTTTTATCCAGCCTATCATTGATGGGCATGTAGGTTGATTCCTTGTCTTTTTTATTGTGAATAGTTCAGCAGTGAACATATATGTGCACGTGTCTTTACAATAGAATGAGTTATACTCCTTTGGTTGTATACCCAGTAATGGGATTGCTGGGTCAAATGGTATGTCTGTTTTTAGGTCTTTGAGAAATTGACACACTGTCTTCCACAATGGCTAAACTGGTTTACGGTGCAAACAACAGTGTAAAATGGTTCCTTTTTCTCCAAAACCTCACCAGCATCTGATCTGTTGTTTTTTGACTTTTCAATAATAGCCATTCTGACTGGTGTGAGATGATATCTCTCTTTTTTTTTTTTTCTTTTGAGACAGAGTCTTGCTCTGTTGCCCAGGTTGGAGTGCAGTGGCATGATCTTGGCTCATGGCAACCTCTGCCTCCTGGGTTCAAGTGATTCTCCTGCCTCAGCCTCCTGAGTAGCTGGAACTACAGGTGTACACCACCATGCCCGGATAATTTTTGTATTTTTAGTGGAGATGGACTTTCACTATGTTGGCCAGGCTGGTCTCAAACTCCTGACCTCAGGTAATCCGCCCACCTCGGCCTCTCAAATTGCTGGGATTACAGCATGAGCCACAGCACCCAGCTTCACTGTGGTTTTGATTTGCATTTCTCTAATGATCAGTGACGCTGAGCTTTTTTCGTATGTTTGTTGGCTGCACATATGTCTGCTTTTGAAAAGTGTCTTTTCATGTCCTTTGCCCACTTTTTAATCAGGTTATTTTTTTATTCTTTAAATTTGTTTAAGTTCCTTACAAATGCTGGATATTAGACCTTTGTCAGAGGAATAGATTGCAATAAAAATTTATCTCATTCTGTAGATTGTCTGTTTATTTTGTTGATTCTTTTGCTGTGTAGAAGCTCTTTAGTTTAATTGTATCCCATTTGTCAACTTTTGCTTTTGTTGCAATTGCTTTTGGCATCTTTTTCATGATATCTTGGCCCATGCCTATACCCTGAATGATATTGCCCAGGTTGCCTACCAGAGTTTTTATAGTTTTTGGTTTTACATTTAACTCTTCAATTCATCTTGAGTTAATTTTTGCATATACTAAAAATAAGGGGTCCAGTTTTAATCCTATACATATGGTGAGTCAGTTATTCCAGCACTATTTATTGAATAGGAAATCCTTTCCCCAAGGCTTATTTTCATCAAGTTTGTTGAAGATCAGATAGTTGTAGGTGTGTGGTCTTATTTCTGGGTTCTCTATTCTGTTCTATTGGTCCATGTGTCTGTTTTTGTACCAGTTCCATGCTGTTTTGGTTACTATAACCCTGTAGCATAGTTTGAAGTCAGGTAGCATGATGCCTCCAGCTTTGTACTTTTTGCTTAGGATTGCCTTGGGTATTTGGGCTCTCTTTTGGCCTGTAATACCAGTTACTCGGGAGGCTGAGACAGGAGAATCGCTTGAACCTGGGGGGCGGAGGTTGCAGTGAACCGAGATTGTACCACTGCACTCCAGACTGGGTGGCAGAGTGAGACCCCATCTCAAAAAAAGTAAATAAACAAATTTCAAAACAGTTTTTTCTAGTTATGTGAAGAATGTCTATGGTAGTTTAATAGGAATAGCATTGTGATTCAATGACTATTCTAAATTCAAGTTTTCTTTCTATTCAAAGTGCATGACTAGTCAATATCCAAGGTTTTCCCCTTTGGGAAAATTTCTTCTTGCCATAGTATTTCAAAGCCACCCCATGCACTAAACCAACACATTTATGACCAAGCTATGAATTCTTCCTCTTCTATTAGCTGGTCATCGGGAGCCTCCCTGTGGCATAAATGTGAGCACCTGCAGAGATTAACTACAGAGGTGATTGATGTGATTGTCCTGCCCCACCTGCACATATAGCTTTCTTATGCCCTCTGGTACTGCTCAGGTGATATCCAGGATATACCACTGCTATCTTACAATGGATTGTTCAACTGTTGCTGGTCTGCATGACCTGTGACTTGGTGGATCTGACATTAACCAGCTCATTATGGGCAGCTCTGGCCACATGGTCATTTATTATACCATGGTTAGACTCTCTGTATTTACCAAGGTCCAAGAGAATGCCAGCAGTTTTCTGAAAATTTTGTAATTTTCTGATACACATAACACAGTTCCATTCCAGAACTCTAGTGGGATTCATTGGAATTCCTTTATTGATGCTCTAATATGATAGGGTCATATTGCATCATATTGCTCAAAGTAGCTGGGTGTTTTGTACCATAACCTGCTCATGCTATACAACATCTAGACTCCATTTAAAGCTGGTATTCATCCTGCCTATTGATCCGAATAGTATTCCTAGTGTAGAGTATGCTGTCTTCAGAAGCCAGATAGGCCTACTAGGCATTGTGCAGCTTTATTATGCTCTCTGCTATAAGGCATGCACGTGCCTTGGAGGGCATGTTTCCACAAAGGCCACTAATGTACTAGCATTTCTTTCTCATCTGGGATTATTAGCTTAATGCAATTGACATAGAGACACAGGACAAAACTCTGCAAAACATCCAGTAGTTCTAGGTCTCTTAGGTCTCTTCAGATTATAACAAAGGAAAGAAGAGTTATCATGGCCCTGAGTGAAGGCTATAAATGTATACCATTGACCTTTTCACGTGACTGCAAACTGCTTTTAATCTAAGTCAAAGCAAACTGTTTTTGGACAAAGGTGATGCAAACATATTTACCAGGTCAATGGCTCATATCATGTATATTAGCCTATGTTAATCTGTTCTACAGATTATCTATCATCTGGCAGAACAGCTACAGCTGAGTTGAGTTTATTACTTGCTTGAGATTAAAGGAGTCTGCTGTCATCCTTGAATTCAGCTGGTCTTTGCACAGGCCAGGCTGGTGAATTAACAGGTGATAAAATGAGGACACTTCACTTGTATTCTTTAGTTTAGACTCTTTAGAAATAGCACTTATTTCTGCCACCTATTTTAGGATGTGATATTTTTATATTTACTATCTTATATTATAGAAGAACAGTTTAAAAACTTTCAGTTGTCCTTTCACACTAAGTCAGCTCTCACTCCACATAGGCCAAATAGCAAATGTAGGAAATGTGGAAGTATCAATTATGTTAGTTCCAACTATACATTTAGCAACCAGGGAAATGATCATTGGATTGTGGCCTTAGAAGCTCTGGACCCACTGTGAGGACCTAGGCCAGACTCTACTCATCACCTCACTCACATTTGTCTCCACTCTTACCAAGAAGTCACAATGACAGCTTGAATGCTGGCTATCAATATTAGCTCAAGCCCTTGTCTAATGGTTTTGAAAAGATTTTATGTTGTCCATTTTCTCAGTGTATAACCAGGCAAGTAAATTGACCATTGGTCTCTTCCAGAAAGGACTGAGGAACCATCACTGTGCACAATGGCTGTGGTATTGTCAGTCCTTCCTCCTGGGGTTCTGACTGACTCTTCAGTTAATGTGTTTTGGATCCCAAAACTGTCTGAGTTCTGGAGTCTTTATGATGAAATCGTGGCTGTCTTTTGAAATATCTACCTTTTTCATTCATAAAAGTTCTTCTTTCTTTCTTGATTATAGAGTATGAACAGTCATAATCTCACTGGCTGCTCATCTATCTTGCCGTTAGGAAAACGGTCTTTTATTTAAAAAAAAATTATAACTCTATGCAACTTAGGCTCCTATGGCTGCCACTGTGATGTTGCTTCCAATAACAATAACTGAGGCAGCCTGACTTCTGATGTTTGAATACCACCAGATACCAGATAACTTATTTGTTTTGTTTTTTGTTTTTGTTTTTTTTGGTCAAATGATGGCACTTAATCTTTGCTCTCAGAGAGCCAAGTTATTTCCTGATGTTAAAAAAAGCAATTAGTGAACTTGTTAGTAAGGATGCTACTTTCTCATTAACATATAAGTAGACCTTGTCTGTGCTTCACAAACACTGCCTTTTTTATAAATTGAAGGTTTATGGCAATCTTGCATCAGGAACATCTATAGGCACCATTTTTTCAACAGCCTAGGCTCACTTGTGTCTCTGTGTCACATTTTGGTAATTTTGCAATATATCAAAGTTTTTATTATTATTACCTGTTAAGATGATCTGTGGTCAGTGATATTTGATGCTATTATTGTAATTGTTTTGATATGTCATGAACCGCACCTATGTAAGACAGAAAACTTAATCAGTAAATATCGAATGTGTTCTGACTGCTCCATAGACTAGCCATAGCCCAGTCTGTTTCCCTTTCCTTGGGCCTCCCTACTCCCTAAGACACAATAATATTGAAATTAGGCCAATTAGTGATTCCACAATAACCTCTAAGTGTTCAAGTGAAAGGAAGAGTTGCATTTCTCTCCCAATAAATCAAAGGCTACAAATGATTAAGCTTAGTGAGGAAGGCATGTTGAAAACTGAGATAGGCTGTAGGCCTCTTTTGCCAGCTAGCTAAGTTGTGAATACTAAGGAAACATTCTTGAAGGAAATTAAATGTGCTACTCCAGTGAACACATTAATGATAAGAAAGAAAAACAACATTATTACTGATATGGAAAAAAAGTGTAGTGGTATGAATGGAAGATCAAATCAGCTACAACATTCACTTAAGCCAAAACTTAATCCAGAGCAAGGCCTTAACTCTCTTAAATTCTGTGAAGGCAGAGAAATGTAAGGAAGCTGCCCAAAGAAACCTTTGAGGCAAACAGAGTTTGGCTCATAAGATAGTAGGGAAGAAGCAATCTCCATCACATAAAATTCAAGGTTAAGCAACAAGTCCTGATATGGAAGCTGCAACAAGTTATCCAGAAGATCTAGCTAAGATAATTAATAAAGGTGGCCACAAAAGTCAACAGGTTTTTAATGTAAATGAATTAGTCTTTTATTGGAAGAAGATGACATCTTGGGCTTTCATAGCTAAGAAGTCAATACCTATCTTCAAAGCATCAAAGAGAGGGGCTAACTCTTGCTTCAGGGTAATGCAGCTGGTGACTTGAAGTTAAAACCAATGTCCATTTACCTTTCTGAAAAGTCTAGGGTGCTTGAGAATTCTGATAACTCTACTCTGCCTCTGCTCTGTAAATGGAACAACAAAGCCTGGATGATGTTTAATTTATTTACAGCATGGTTTACTGAATATTTTAAGCCCATTGTTGAGTCCTATTGCTCCTTTAGATTAGATTCTTTTTAAAAGAGTACTTATTTATTGACAATGTGACTCATCACCCAAGAGCTCTAATGGAGACGCACAAGGAGATTAATGTTGTCTCATGCCTGCCAACACAATATCCATTGTGCAGCACTTGAATTGAGGAGTAATTTCAACTTTTAAATCTTATTATTTAAGAAATGATTCCTTCAATGAATATGGACAAAGGAAACTGAAAACCTTCTGGAAGGATTCACCTTTGTAGGTACCATTAATAACTTTGGCGATTCATTCATAGGAGGAGATCAAAATATGACATTAACATGAGTTTGGAAGAAGTTGATTCCAATCCTCATGGATGACTTTGAGCAGTTCAAGTGGAGGAAATATCTGCAGATGTGGTGAAAATACCAAGAGAATTAGGACTAAAAGCAGAGCCTCAATATATGGCTGAACTTTTTTCTATTTCATGATAAAAGTTGAACCCATGAGAAGTTATTTCTCATAGATGAGCAAAGAATGTGGTTTATTGAGATGGAATATACTCCTGGTAAAAATGCTGTGAACGTTATTGAAACAACAACAAAGAATTAAAAATATTATTACCTCAAATTAGTTGATAAAGCAGATTTGAGAGGATTGACTTTAATTTTGAAAAATTCTACTGTGGGTAAAATGCTGTCAAATAGTATTACATGTTACAGAGAAAACTTTCATGAATGGAAGAGTAAATCAATTTTGCAAATATCATTATTTTATTTTAAGAAATTGCCACAATTGCTTCAACTTTCAGCACAATCACCCTGATCAGTCAGCATCAAAAATATTAGGATATGCTGAAGACTCAGATTATTGTTAGCATCTTTTAGCAATGAAATTTAATTAAGATATGTACATAATTTACACATAATGCCATTGCACACTTAGACTACAGTGTAGTATAAACCTAACCTTTTTTTTTCTTTTTTTAAACTTTAGGGTCAGAGAATACATGTGCAGGTTCGTTACATGAATATACTGGTATAGTGGTGAAGTTCATGCTTCTAGTGTACCCGTCACCCAGATAGTTATCATTGTACCCAAAAGATAGTTTTTCAACACTCAGTTTCCCCTAACCTCCCAACTATAGGAATCCAAGTGTCTGCTGTTTCTATCTTTGTGTCCATGTGTACCTACTCAACATAACTTTTATATGCACTTAAAAATCAAAATGCTCTTTGTGACTGGCCTTATTTTGATATTTACTTTATTGCAAGAGTCTCAAACCAAACTCCTGATATCTTACACAGAATATCATTGCAAGCAAATTGTTGCTTTTTAATTCCTTCTGCCACATCTGCCACAGCAACCTTGGCACCTCAGTAAGTCTATTAGTTTCCTACTGCTACTATAACAAGTTACACATATTTTGGGTTCTTAAAACAACACAAATTTATCTTACAGTTCTAGAGGTCAGAAGTCTGAAAAGGGTCTCACTGGGCTACAACCAGGGTGTTGGCAAGGTTGCATTCTTCTGCAGGCTCTAGTAAAATACATTTTCTTGCATTCTCCAACTTCAAGAGCAAGCTTGCATGTCTTGGCTCATAACTCAGCAGCACCATTGCCCAAATTCCCATGTTGCCATCTGTCTGGTTCTTTCTTCTTTCACTTTTTTTTTTTTTAGATGTTTTAGGACTTTAATGTTCTTTACATATTCAACATAAAATACTGACAATAGATAAACAATAGGGGAACGACTTTTCAGCAAAGTATCACTCTCGTCGTCAAACATTACAAAGAAAACAGTCAAGAGAACAAAGGATAAGGTAATTTAACAGAAATATTTAATTTAATGTCATAATTGAAAAACAACCAACCAGTCAACTTTCTCTTCTACCTATGGAAAGAATGATAAAAATGAATCAAGAACTTCTGGATCTTTTTCATAAAACAGCTTAAAAAGAAGAAGGGGAAGACTGGGGAGGGGTTGCAACTGTTGCTAATGGAATAATGCACAAGGTCAAGGATTTAATAACTTCTAAAAGTGTCTACATGTATCAGTGTTAACCGTATTATTAGAAATATAAATGTATAGAAACATAAAGTATATGGTATTAAAAACCGACCTTGCTAATGTAAACATACATAAAGTATGTATCTTCTCTTGTAATAACAGTATAAAGATCGATCTACAGTTTGCCCTTTGCCTGGTACTCTTAAACCACTCCTCCAATGGGCAATGCTGACCTTGAATCAACAGCCACTGAACCCAGGAGACTCCACAGATGTCTAGATTCAGCACCTAGACGGCCCCACCTACCCTCTATGCTGTGTGTTCCCATGACTCCAGAAACAATTAATTGCAACTTACATTATGAAGTCCACAGGGAAGTTTGAAATCTAACTAGAAAAAGTAGCAGCAAAGGCATTTTGCTGGTGCCCAGAAGAATGTTGGCTCTGCTGGGGTCACCGTGGAGATTGTCCATGATGACCTGCTGGGATTTGCCCTCCTAGAGTGCCCCTCAGTCCTGGAATACAAGGTGCAGGCTGGAAACAGCTCCTTGTACAACATGCCTCCATGTTTCAGCATCTACGTCAGGGGCTTGGTCCTGGAGTCGATTAAAAACAATGGAGGTGTTGCGGCCATGGAGAAGCGTAGCTCCATCAAATCTCAAATGATTTATGAGATTATTGATAATTCTCAAGGATTCTACATATGTCCAGTGGGGCCCCAAAATAGAAGCAAGATGAATATTCCATTCTGCATTGGCAATGCCAAAGGAGATGATGCTTTAGAAAAAAGATTTCTTGATAAAGCTCTTGAACTCAATATGTTGTCCTTGAAAGGGCATAAGTCTGTGGGAGGCATCTGGGCCTCTCTGTATAATGCTGTCACGATTGAAGATGTTCAGAAGCTAGCCGCCTTCATGAAAAAATTTTGGAGATGCATCAGCTACAAACACATCCTAACCAGGATATACTCTGTTCTTGAACAACATACAAAGTTTAAAGTAAATTGGGGATGGCTAGAAAAAGTTAACAAACACAGTATTTTTCTCAAATGAACATGTTTATTGTAGATTCTTCTTTTTTGAAGGAACAACAGCAAAACATCTACAGCTCTGTAAAGCTGGTGGGACCTAATGTTCACCTTAATTCTAACTTGAACTGGAAGCATTTTAAGAAATCTTCCTGTTGCTTTTCTTCTTTCACTTTTAAGGTCTCTTGTGATTACATTATGCCTACCAAGGTAATTTAAGATAACCTCTCATTTAGAGGTCAACTTACTAACAATCTTAATCTTGTCTGAAATATTAATTCTCCTTTTCAATATAGCCAAACATACTAAAGGTTTAGGATCTTAGAATATCTTTAGTGGACATTATTCTGCTTACTACAGTCTGTATATGCTATTACATTTTCATATTTCTAGAAGCCATTCTACCAGTGTTTCTGCCCCATCTCCCAGAGTTTCTGTGTGAATATTTAACCATGGGACTTTCTTTAGAGGTCAAGTGTTCTTACAACTAAGCAGGGCCCTGGTCCTCAGCTTTCTCTTCCTACCCAATGTAGAAGATGAGATCTACTTTGTACAATAATAAGAAGACTTGGTTTTACCTTTACAGTTAGCATTAGTTGCCAATTAATTGCTCTGTTTTTTGTTATTTTTCCCAAAGTAATTAAACTGAGCAATTCTATTGTACTCAATGTTATTATTTCCCCTATACTTCTCCAAGGACTGATGGAATACCTAGCTCGCATATCCCCACCAATTATATCATCCCAGTTTATCACAGGTGAGCATGTTAACAATTGCACTGCTACCTTTGTCGGGAGCTCTCTCTGCTCCACACCATGCTTATGGAATCCTCATTTCCAGATGGGAGGTATTTAATCCAGTTCAAAATCTCACCTAAGTGTTTTCTTTCTGACAAAAATGCTGTGTTAACATTTCCAAGTTGGCTTCCCCTGCAAGCAGAGTGTAAAATGAAGTTTTGCATATAGTCGTTATATTTTGGAGTGTGCTTGAATTAATTCCTCTAGAATGGAGAGGAAGAAAAAATGAATGGACAAAGAGACAAATCAAGTGATCTTAAAGGAAACCTCATAAAACCATGTGAAGAGTTCCACAAATAGTATGGAGAGGCTAAGGCCCTGGGACAGATGACTCTCTTCAACTGAAACAATTCCTAAAGAGTGCTGAGAGTAGAGGACTGAACAATAAATCTTATTTCTGAAGAGTATCTCTGAGTATCACAGCATCCATGAATTTATAGTAGATCTTTCTCTTGCTAACTCTGTCTTTCTCTTAAAAACTAGTCTTCCCCACCCCAATTGCACTTTGCATTTAGAAATAAAAATCCTAAAAACACAAATCACCTCAAAGTACGAAAATAGAGGCATGACAAAATGCCTGAACAAGAAAAAAGAATGAAAACAATAGCCTGGCTTGAATATGAGAAGAAAATGAAATAAATACAGGTAGAATACCAAAGTTAAGATATACATATCTGCCATATATGTTACAAATCCAGATTATATTAAAGGCAGGCAATTGAAATTCTCTTACGCTAAAAACAAAGTTGCATTATTTTCCAAGAGCATGTTCAGGGAACTTTACATAATTAATGCAGTCATTAATTATTTCATTACAATGTTTGACTACCTATTCTGTGTCTGACCATGAATTAAGTGCCATTGATTCAAAAGTATATAAATAAAACAGAAATATGCATGATGCAACTTATTTCCCATGTGGAGGCAAACAGTAAGATATAAAATAAAAACTCTAAAAAACAAAATATCATTATTTCAGAATATACGAAATATTTTTATTATAATAAGTAGTAAACGAACCAGGTGATGTGATAAAGAATAACTTGGGAAGATATTTTAGCTAAGAATTATTTAATATTAGTCAGGTTATCAATAATTATTGTTCAATTTTTAATAAATTAAAAGTTCCTTGAGATCCATTGTCCAGTTTGATCTTTATTTCTTAACATTTTCTTCATTTCATTTAGAATTCCTTGGTAAAACCCCACACCATAGCTTCTTATCATAGTTACTAAAACAGTAATAATATAGCATATGGTTTACATTAACTGTTAATATTTTAGAATATTCTAATCTAAATTAACAGCTCTATTTCTCTTTTCTTAGGATATAAATATTTATTCATTATAGGTACTATGTTATTGCGATATTTCTGAAGTTCATTTTGATTCAATTTTCAATGTTAACGGAAATTACTGACATATTATTACTTAAAGAATTACAAACAATGGTAATTACTAACTAAAGGAAATCAAGATGAACAATTTTTAAATATATAAAGGTATTGTGTGCTTTGTGGGTTTAAAATGGTTAAATTATTTTTTAAAAGTATAGTACTGTAAAACTGTAAGTTTAAACTATTATCACTTACTTTGCTTGAAACTGATGGCTTAGAAGATGAAGTTCCTTGCATGTACATTCATGTGTGTATGTATTCAGCGGCTTTTTATTATTTACTTACACATTATAATTTATTATTGAAAAACGGTATTTACCATGTATACCTGTATTACGGTTAAGTATAATTTCAATCTAGAATAAAAAATCACTTTAAGTTCAAGTTATTCCTTTAAATCTCTGGGCAAGAGTCAGAATTTCTTTAAATCAGAGATTTTTAACTGCCGAACACAAACTACAAATGAGAATTTCCTTGGCAATTTAGGGTACTGTAGAAGCATGATAATAAAGTTATTTTTTAAATGATTCATATAGGTATGTCTGTTTATAATACACATGAGAAACTCCAATTTCATTATATACTTGAACAATTCCATAGAAAAACCTTCAGAATAAGATGGTTAGACAATAACATAGCCCTGCTTAGCACATTGCTGTATAATGTTTCTTTTTTCTTTTTTTTTCTGAGACGGGGTCTTTGTCACCCAAGTTGGAATGCAGTGGTGAGATTTAGGCTCGCTACAACCTCACCTCCCAGGCTCAGGTGATCCTCCCACCTCAACCCCACAAGTAGCTCTGAAACTACAGGCACGCACCACCACGCTCATCTAAATTTTTGTATTTTTGGTAGAGATGGGGTTTAGGCTTGTTGCTTAGGCTTGTCTCGAAATCCTGAGCTGAGGCAATCCATCCACCTTGGCCTCCTTAAGTGCGGGGATTACAGGCCTGAGCCACCTTGCCCAGCCTTGAATAAATTTTACCACAGAAACCCTTGAATATGATCGATTTTCTTTCAAATAGAAGAGGACATACACACTCCTCAATGTAAGCCCTTTTAAATAAATTTTTTAAAATCCCTCACCTAATCCCCTCAGAAAAATGTTATAGTTTAACATGGTGTTCTATTTCAAGAATTATTTTTTCTAATAAAACGGATGTACACAGGGCTTTGAGCAGCTAGACTTGATGACATAGAAAGGTGGCAGCAAACTAATAGGTACATATGCTCTCAGAGGCAATTCGTAGAAAGAAAAAAGGTCACATCACATTTTTCATTGCCTTTGTTCTAAGAAAGAATGCAGGTTTCCTGGATGTCTGCAACCCAGCATTCAATTGCAGGTGAGGCAATTGTTTTAGGTAAATAAATTTCCAATGGAAGTGCTCAGTGTTTCAGCGCAAACAGGAATCTTGCACTGTACCCTCAAAGCATTGACATCAGCTGTGTCAACTGATTCTGATTCTGAATATAAAAATCTGATTCATCACAAGTTTGACACATGCTGCTTCAAAAAACTGAAGGAGGCTCCAAGTCTCATTCAGAGCTGCAGCCTGGCAACAATTTCATTTTTGTCTTCTAAGTTGTTTTCCTTTCACCCTTTTGCTGAGCAGAAACTAGAAAATGGTTCTGAGAGGAGCTGCATACTGCAACAGATGTATTACACATAAATATACAGAAACATACAGAGAGCCCTGGAGAATATAAGCTAGTGTTATTCACAAAATCTGTCAATTTCCTAAATCTCAAGGCGTAAAACAGAAATAAATACTACATTGATCTTGCTAATAATCATTATGAGATAAAGAGTTACTTCCCAAGTAATGACTAATAAAATCTGTGAAACAAAGAGAAAATAAAGTCCACGAGGAAACTGTGTGATACTGAAAGAATAAGCAGAAAATTTAAGTTGATAATTTTCTTTTTTCCATCCTCTAACAGAGCCATATGATTTATTTTTAACTTACAAGTTACTTAAATTCTTGATGTAATATGTATTGTTATCTTAAACCCATTCTGGTTTTCTGTATAGTTCATTTCCCCTAGCTCCATTCACCCCTTCAGCACCACTGTGTCAGGGTTAGGGATAGGGCAAATATGTTCATTACACAGTCTTGTTTTACCCAGTCTTTTTTTTTTTTAAGGGCCTTTCCAGTTCCTGCATTTATGCCTTTAAAAACTTGCATCAATACCTTGTGATCACGATAACAGATATGTCGATTATTCTTACTTTTTCATAAATACAGGTCAATATTTTTCTCAAGAATGTTAGCACTTTAAGGCTCAAGCAATGTTACCTAGTAAGAATGCTGACTCAGTTAAAAACTGTAAAGCTCTCACATGTAGAGCTAGGAAGAGATTTTTCATGATGTAGAAATTTCCTTTTATAAAAACCTGACATCTATTCTGACTATAAAGTTTATTCTGCCCTAGTGTTTGGACTTCTGGTAGGCTGTTTTTTTAAACCCTAGTTGCAATTAAAGTGATTAATCTCACTTTCTTAATAAATAATAAAATTTGGCCTTCAATGAAGATGAGTTTCAGTAATCTAAGCAATAAATCAACCCCAAATTCTTTATTTCTTACTGAATACAGATAAGTGTGTTTTGTGTGTGTGTATAATATATAATATATATAAACTATAATTAGGTCCTGTATAATTACCTTCAAAAACTGTCTTAATAGAAATGTGACTGTATGAAATATTAATCAATTTAAAATTATTGAACCCTGATACTTTGTCATAACAAGTGTGTCTATTATCATGCAAAGCAACATAGACTATATTTAAATTAACCATGAATGAAAATTTTTTATAAGTCCATCAACCTTCTGTTTCTTTGTGTACGTGTGGAAAGAGTATTGCTATGGCACTTAAATGCACAATTATATATTTAATTTAATAGGCTACTTCATTTTAATAAAATTCTAATTTTTATGAAATTCTAATATTGCTAACATTTAACATCAAGAAAAGCATTGCTAGGGTAAGCAAATAGTACTTTAAAAATGATAATTTACCCATATCAATCCAAACTGAATAGGAATAGGAAAATAGTCCTCCTGAGTCTACCTTATTTTTTATATAGGAAGTCAAAACAATATGTTATTGATGAAATGCCTGAAAGTCTCTATGCAATGCAAGAAGAATATTAATATAACAGAGTTCCAGCATAAAAATATAGAGCTATGTATTAATCAGAGTGAATTATAGCTTTGACTTGCATTGCGCTCTAAATAAATGCAGGTGAGAAAGAAGGGGTTAAAATTAATAATTTATACTAAAACCAGTAAAACAATAGTAATAAACTTAGTAAGTACCTAATTCAGCACACCATTTACATTTTACATGTATTAGAGGCAATTTTTGAAAAACTGTGTTGAATACACTTGAATATCTTACACAGTCATGTATTGTGAACTGTGTTGAATACACTTGACTATCTTATGCAGTCATATATTTTGCTCATGACTGCATTTTTAAAATCCATATTTTATATTTCTCTGTATTCCACATATTTTGGTCTTATTTCTTCCTATTCTGTTCACAAGGGATTATAGTCCATGCCATGATTTATAGATGGATTGTGTATTTTGTGATGCAAAACTCTTATATAACTGGATTTTGGCACCCTACTCCCATAAAAAATAAATAAATAAAAGGATGTGATAAGATCTGTCAATGCATTAGGAAAAAATGTTGTCCACTCAGCATTTTGGGGATAGAAAGAAGGGAGGACAACTTAAGGGCAGAGAATATTTATTAATACTTGGGAATTAGTAGCTGAGGATTAAAATATGATTATTTGCTATTTGGCTTTCAGTGTTCTGAATGATTCCTTGATGTTACAATAATGTAGTTACTACAGAACTAACCTGTGATTAAGGGGGCGTCTTCTCTTTTCTTTCCTCTATGTTAATTATAAGGAGGGATTCCACAAATGAAAGGCATAGCATCTATGTGAATTTAATGACATGTCACCATCATAATAGTAATATTACCTAAAGAGAGAAGTTTCTCTTAGAGAAATATACTATAGAAATGTTAACAGTTATGATCATTTTGATCATTTAAACCTTTAAAGGACTTTTTTTTTTTAGTTAGCCCTTGTTTACTGCGAGAATAATGTAAAATACTCTGCATTTAGATCTTGGATGGTAAAAGTTTACTTTTAGAAAAAAAGTTACTTTATGTATTATACTACTTACCATTAAGTTATGTGGATAGGAACTAAAATGTAACTGATATTTATCAGAATTAATGCTTTTATCTACCTAACAGACACTTCAATTATCTGTTCTTTCTTTTAGCAGTTCCTTAATCCATCATTATTAAATATATTCTGGCTGACCAAGAATGTCGCAACATCTTTAACCTGGGTTTTTCAGCTGTATTGTGATAAAGGATGCAATAAAAAAATGTAGCTACTTTGAGACAAGGCATTTTCTTCAGTAAAAATATCCATTAGTCTGAGAGCTGCCTTAGCTCCCCGCTCCAGTCCAAATATGAAGTGAACAGATCTTTCTGAGGTACACACATGCAGCTCAGGGAGTATTCAAAATGATCCATTGAGATAAATAGATAATAGAATTTATATTTCTATTTTTAAATCCAGAATTTAAAAATTAAAAGAAATAAACCTTTACTATACTTAATATACAGGTTGTCCTTGAGGCGTTCACTTGGTCTGTGCCTGGTATCTCACATGTCATGTGGGCTGTGTGACGTATCAAGAAGTAGGGGTGGAAGTTCTGGGGAACTGGAGGCTTGACAGCAGCAACCTCTCCGTTTCTCGGCCTTGACTTGTGTTACACTGTATTGAGGGTTTCCTATGCCTGGCTAAGTAGATTTGGAAAGTATACTATCAAGTTTTAACTAAACTAACTCTCACAAAATAGGCATACGGGTAAGAAAAAATTCCCTCAAAGAAACTGCAAATTGAATGCATCTGAAAAAAACAAGCAGAGGTGAGAAAGAAAAATAAGGTGATCTGACACCAGCTACAACACTTGTACAAGTGTTTCAGGCACACAGCGAGGTATTTTTATGCATTTATGTCTAGATACATAATAATAATGTATTTAGATTTGATGTCAGTCATTAATTTAGAAATCCCCATGGAAACAATTTTAAATATGTATTTATAACCACTGTTGTTAACAATGAATTTCACATCACATGTGTATTGTGATGCCTTAAATTGTAGAAATGACATTGTAAGCTCTCATCCACAAGCTATTGAAAAAATGATTCATTTTAATCTAATACTTTAAAAATATGTTTAGTCATTAAGTACATGTTTATAATAAATAAGTACATATATCCATATTTATATTTTTAAACAAACAGATCTAATTGAAAGAGCACTATCTCAGAATTCAGTATACACAAGTTTTTTCATGGATTACTACCACTTGTTTAGGTTTTAATTCAGAGGTCAAAACATGTAAAATCTAAGAGGTTTTCCTTGATCCCTTTATATTAAAGAACATCCTAATAAAGTTAGTCTGTCTCACAGTATCATTTTTGTGCTTGGAACATAATGGTTATCTGAAATTATCTTATTTATTTGTAAGAATGTATATGTCATGCTGGCTTCTTGTTTGTTGTCAATGTGCTTTCTCAATTTCCGGTACTCAGTGGACAATATTTTATTAATTTATTAAAAACATAGTTTTCTTTGTGGTCTATGGAAACTATGTTTTAGATAAACAAATAAAATATCTTTAAAAGCATGACACTTTAAACATTTTTGTTATGCATGGCAACTTTATAAACTGGGAAGTTCTAAGAAGTATCAGCACAGTTTTTGTGCCATGATTTATTACTTAATATTTATTTTAAAAAAATTAAAAAAAAACAGTTGTCCTGTAATATAGCTATCCACATATTTGGAGGGAGAGGGTAGAATTTACAATAATAAAAATGATAGCTATTTTCAATCATAGAATTCCTTTTTTCACTTTCTATTTGCTTCTTGCCCAGATTCCAGACACAGAAGATCCCATTAGCTAAGTGAATTTCAAAAGAGATCACATATCTGTATAATACAAAGTGTACATCTTGCACTTCCCACATCGTCAACACATTCATCTACATTTGTCTTCCTCTATGTGATAAATTATTAGGTCCTTCATATAGGACAAGTGGTAAATCATTATAACTTTGTGAAACAAAACCTTAATCAATGAAATGAACATCAGATAAGCTCCTTGTCTGTATTCTTGCCGAAGAATCACCTCTGGATTTCCCCCTTCGTTGTTTCCTGTGAGATGGCTTTTACCCACAATGACCAGTTGTAACAGTTCCCTGATGTTGCAGAGTATTCAATCTGTTGAGCAGGAATTGAAGAATAAAACAATTATCTTACTAAGCTCAAGTGAATATACTAGCAAATTCTATTTTGATATTTTAAATCAAACTTTAGACTATAGAGGGTCAATATTATAAGGATCTACCAATTTCTATAATCGACTGTAAAAATTAAAATGAGATGACAAATATCATAAGCATATTATTGCTTATTAGAATGATTTAAAAAATTCTGGATATATACCTAGCAGTGGGATTGCTAGATCATATGGTAGTTCTTTTAGTTTTTTGAGGAATCTCCATACTGTACTTCATAGTGAAGAGTAAATAAAAATGTGTGAATTTACATTCCCACGAACTGAGCATAAGGGTTGTCTTTTTTTATATCCTCAGCAAGATTTCTTATTGTCTGTTTTGGGGACAGAAGCCATTTTAACTGGGGTGAGATGATATCTTATTGTAGTTTTGATTAGCATTTCTCTAATGATTAGTGATGCTGAACATTATTTTCATATATCTGTTGGTCATCCATACATCTTTTAAGAAACTTCTATTTAGACATTTTCCCTATTTTTTAATCATAGTATTTATGTTTTTCTCTATGGAGTTGTGTGAGTTCCTCACACATACTGGCTATTAATCTCTTGTCAGTTGGATATATATCCAAAAGAAAAGAAATAGGTATATCAAAGAAACATCTGCACTCTCATATTTATTGCAGCACTATTCACAGTAGCCTAGATATGGAATCAACCTAAGTGTCCATCAAAGGAAAATTGCATAAAGAAAATGTGGCACATATACACAAAGAAATATTATGCAGCCAAAAAAAATGAAACCTTGGCATTTGCTACAACATGAGTAGAATTGGAGGTCATTATTTTGAGTGAAATAAGGGAAGCAAACAAAGACAAATATTTTTACCCACATTTGAAAGCTAAAAAGGGAGCGAGAGAGAAAATTGAACTCATGGAGATAAAGAGTAGAGTAGAATGAGGCTGGGAAGGGCAACAGAGAAGTGGGCAGTGACAATAAAGTGAGGATGGTTAATGACTGTAAAAATACAGGTAGAATGAATAATATCTAGTATTCACTAGAACAATAGGGTGACTATAGTTAAAATAATTTGCTGCACCTTTTCAAATAACTAAAAATGAATTGGAATGTTCTTTTTTATTCTATTTAAATTTTATTTTAAGTTTTGGGGTACATGTGCAGAATGTGCAGGTTTGTTACATAAGTAAACATGTGCCATGGTGGTATGCTGCACCTATCAACCCATCACTTAGGTAATAAGCCCAGCTATTTTTTCTGATGCTCTCCCTGCACCCACCCTCCCCAGACAGACCCCATTGAGTGTTGTTCCTCTCCCCATGTCCATGTGTTCTCATTGCTCATCTCCCACCTATGAGTGAGAACATAAGTGTTTTGTGTTCTGTTCCTGCATTAGTTTGCTAAGGACAATGGCTTCCAGCTTCATCCATATCCCTTCAAAGAACATGATGTCATTCCTTTATATGGCTGCATAGTATTCCATGGTATATATGTATCACATTTTCTTTATTCAGTTTATCATTAAAGGCATTTGGGTTGATTCCATGTCTGTGCTATTATGAATAATGCTGCAATAAACTTAATACAAATAAATAATAAATACTTGATGTGATGGATAACCCCAATTACCCTGATTTGATTATTATAGATTGTATACCTGTATCAAAACATCACATGTATCCCAAAAATATGTACAATTCTTTTGTGCCCATAATAATTAAAAATAAAAATAAATGTTTAAATGATGAAAAACCCAAGTAACTTTACTATTTGAATACAGCAACAACAGAACTAGAATATAAATTAGAATATCAGGCTCATATATTGGTGTCATTAGAATACATTTAAAGAGCTGATTTGTAACCATTCAACTCAGATGAAGTGGGCCCTTTCCTTACTAGGCTGGATAATCATTATTGCAGTTTGAATAGAAAGAATGTACAATTTGTCCAGTATTTTTGATATTAAAACAACATATTTTAGAGGCAAAAACTTTGTTTAGGCATTTTCATATATGTATCTATTAATTGAAAGGATAAATGGAATTAAATTTAATACAATCACAGTTCTGTCTGTTGTTTCAAAAACAAGCCCTGTGTTTCCATATGTTTCCCTGAGACTAAAAAATTCCTATTTCTTCTCTATCATAAATAAATGTTAGAAATTAAGTCTTTTTTATTGGCATGCTCAAAAATTTATTCTGGGTTTTCAGAAAGGTAGATTTTAACTTTTCATCATTACCTAATACAATCAGTGTCCTTTATTATATACGCAGTCATAATCACAAATACTGAAAACTGTACATCCGCTGAGTTTTTCATAAGGTTGAAAAAGTTAAGACAATGGACAAGGTCTTGCTAGTCCTGGTAATCATTGTAAAAATTCTAAAATGGACCTTTGTCATTGACTGGCTTCGAGAAATACTAGAAATTATCTTCTGAGTTTTTTTATAAGTATTAATTTCAGAACTATGCCAACACTTTATTTATAAAGGCATATAAAATATTAATCATTAAGCACACATTCCAAGAACTGTGATCATGATTATCATATCAAAATTATCATCATCATCATCATCATTATATTACTGAACACATAAATGATTTTCAATCTCCAACTTATATTTTTAGGGTCGTTCTTGAATGTTATTAAAACACTCTTTTGAAAATTTCTGTAGCAATTTTAAACATTTAGTGACACTATGAAAATGTGACTTTTCTAGGTATATTTTTTATGTATATTATTTTTACACTGTTTGTAATATATGTTGAAAAAGATGTATGCTATATAGCATTATAACCATAATTACTCCCTTTTTTTAAAAAAAAGATTTAGTTCTTTTATAGTAGGTGTGTATATTCTTGGAGTACATAAGATATTTTGATACTTGGCCGGGCACAGTGGTTCACCCCTGTAATCCCAGCACCTTGGGAGGCGGAGGCGGGCAGATTACTTGAGATCAGGAGATTGAGACCAGCCTGGTAAACACGGTAAAACCTCGTCTTTACTAAATATACAAAAATTAGCCTGTAGTCCCAGCTATTCCAGAGGCTGAGGCAGCAGGATCGCTTGAACCCGGGAGGTGAAGTTTGCAGTGAACCGAAATTGTGCCACTGCACTCCAGCCCAGGCAACAGAGACTCCGTCTCAAAAGAAAACAAACAAACAAACAAACAAACAAAAAACCCAGATATCTTGATGCCAGCATACAATGTATAATAATCACATCAGGGTAAATGGGGTATCTGTTACCTCAAGCATTTATAGTTTGTGTTACAAACAATCCAATTCTATTATTTCAGTTTTTCAGTTATTTTTAAATGTGCAATTAAATTATTATTCACTATAGGCACATTGTTGTGCTATCAAGTACTAGATCTTATACATTCTTGCTATTTTTTTTTTGTACCCAAAGACTAAGTAGGGTAGTGGGGGGGTAGGGGAAAAGTGTGTAGTATAATATATACTGTTATATATGCAAGTAGGCAGGGTGAAGGGAGTCAGAGAATGCAGGGTAAACATGTGAATTTTGTGAAGGAGAAAGGGAAGGAAGAAAGTTAAGTAGGAAGAATCTCACACTGAGAGGGAGTTCAAAGAAGGTTGTGGTCAGACCTATGTATGGGACATTCTCAAGCCAATTTCACCCCTAGAATTCCACAACGTCACAGGAATGAGCCTGTTTTCCTATTCCTGCCACACCTAATCATTCTTTGGAAGCACTCCATGAAAAGCAAGAGTTCTGAGATATTATGATGGTAGATTCTGAGTGCAGAAACTGAGGCTATCTGTCCATATGGTTCCTGAAGCATAAGATCAGAGACACATATTTTCATGATCACCCCAACCTACCCTTCTCCAACCCATGTTAAGGAGAAGCTTCTATATTGGACTTTTCTTTTTGAGGGTACCTAAGACAAGAGAAGTTTGTGGGGTGAACTATAGTCTTTAACTGCTGCATTTGATTTTGGTGCTACACTAGCACTAATCATCTTCCTTCCAAAACGTGACTTTTAAATTTCCACACCCTCAACTACAATCGGGGCAGATCTTGGTGGCTCATCTGGCAGTGTGAATCAAACCTTCATTCCTGAGGGGTCTGAATTTTTGATACTTATACCTCAGGCTCAGATTGCTACACTTGTACATTCACACTTATTTAAGGTGATACTAGGAAACACACAAGCAGATCGCTTTTGTTCCAAATTTGTCTCTCCCTGAGCTACTTTAGTAAAAGTAACTTTTCCTCCTGCTTTTTATCAGCATCCAATACCTCTGTATGTGTGGTGACTCTTTTTTCCCTAGCAGGTCCCTGGTCCCTGGGTACAAGGATTTCAAAGAAGGTAACTACCAGCAGCATGCAGTTAAATAGGACCCTGACAAGAAAGCATCTCCTTAGACTCATAGAACCTCCAACCCTGCAGAATCCAAAACCGTGAGAATAGAAGGCACAAAGTGTTTCCAAGGGCCATGGGAATGATAGAAATTTGGCCTACTGCTGCTTCTGTCATTTGAATCCTGGACCCACACATTTCTTTTCTGGGGGAAAAACCATTTCTTCTTTTGTGTACTCAACACCACATCAGGGCTTCTTACTCAACATATATACTACATCCTGAAAGATAGCTCTTCCCCCGCAATCCTACTGGAGTGTTGCTTCCAAGCTTCTGCTGTAGATGTGTCTTTTGAAAGGTTTTCCAGGCTTTTGTGAGGCCAGCTGCATCTGGATATTACAGTGAGTGAATTCCATAATCATGAGGCCATTGCCACACTTCCATCCTCTGGTCAATACTATACCATCTAGACATTCAAAGGTAGCACAAGCTAGTTACGAGTGATGCCTTCCCACACATACAACACACACTTATCATGGGCAATTAAGTTTTCATGCTTGAATGACTGAAAAATGATCTTTTTTGAATTTATAAAACCTTACCAGAATATTTAACAACTTGATAACTAGGTATAAAATTTTCAAGAAATAAAAATTAACATTCAACCTTACAAATTAATTTTTTTCTTCACCCAAGGAAATGTATTCCACCCTAACTTTAAACATTTTCATCATCATTTTTTAGTTTTCTTTTCCTTTTGTTTATATTATGTCTATTTGCTTTAATGCATTTGGATTTTTCCTCTGAATTCTATAACATCCATTTATATAGATAATATGTCTAAACATATGGGTATATGTACATAGAATAATGTCTCTAAATATATATAGATACATAGATACAGATACACGTATACACACATATATAAATTTTGTTAGCATTTTGATAGCCTATACCATTAGAATTTGGATTATTTTCCTAACTCAGATGATACTTTGGATCCATTGTGCTTGAAATAAAAAATAAAAAACATTTATTCTCCACAATTTACCCAAATCTTTACAACTTTTGCCACTAACTTTTCTTCTAGAAATAGAAAGTAGAAAATAGGCATAACTTTCAAATGTTGAATGGTGCAAAAAATGAGGACTTAAATTTGAATTTCCAATGAGTGGCTCTCCTCATTAGGTTATCAGTAATCAGCAGGCTCAGTGAAACACACGTCTGGTTTTTTTTTTATTTTTTAATTGCCTTTTTTGCCTTTTTATTAAGATTTTGTTATTGTTGAAAGTGCCTCTTGGTAATCATGACAGAATATTTTTGGCATCTTAAGATTTCTTCTAACATGAATAGCAAAATACAAAACCCTGGCATATTGCCCCTTCTCTGGTAAATATACTCCAGGAGATCCTGCAACTTTTCTTGGGAGGGCATGCATAATATATGGAGCTTTTAAAGCATGTAAATATTAATTAGGTTTACGTAGTTGTTGCTTCTTTTTCTGTCTATATCTGGGTAAGAGCTACACATGGATTCCTAGAATCCTTGATTGTCTTTTTCCCTTGTGAATGCTTTTGAAATAATGTGGTTATGGTTTGAAGAGCATTCTTTCTTTGAAGTAAGGACTGCCACTATTTGCCTTTCTTGTTTTAATTACTTTGTTCATTTATCTTGGTTTCGGGTGAGAGGAGAACATTGTAGTATAGATTAACATTTCATTATAAACTGGAAAACATTAAAGAGTCTTAAATGTCATAAAATAAAGAGAACTTGATTTCATTTTGAGGAGTTTACTTGACATGTTAAGTAGTTTTCTCAAAGTAATTAGTTTTACTTAACAAAGCAATTTTTTCACAAAAATCACTAAACCTGCAATACCTTTAGATTCAGGTGGACTCAAGTGAATAGATTATTGAATAAGAACAGATATATTTACTCTTCTTATGAGTTTGAAAGTAAAAGGTTTAGTAGAACTATTTCTTCTTGAATTTTATTATTAGGCATATGTATTAAGAATAATAATATAATGCCATCTACTTGCTACTTTGGAAAATGACTTGGTAAAACTTTACCTTGAAAGTCATACTACATCAAATTATGTACAATTAGCATAACTATTATATAATAGTATGGTAACATAATAAATTAAAATATATATTTTATAGTGATTCTTTCCCCTTGAAATTTGCATGAATTCAGCATTTCTAGTGCTGATATAAACACTTGAAAATCTAATATCAATTCTCATCTTCTGACAATGAAAATTCTTTGGAATTTATAATTTTCTTTATGATATTTGAGTGTTTTGCTTAAGGACATTGCCAGACTTCAGTCTTCAGATATAGTAATATGCCCCAAAATTTTATAGGCTCATTCCTTTGTGCTTTATTGGCAAAAATACTCATATAAATATTGTTAAGAAATTGTTAAAAACTAAGATATAGTTCAAGGTAAATACAAATGGATTTGACTTATATTACACTAATTTATTTTTATTCTCCTGTTTAGCCATCTAAGAATTCAAAAGCAAAAATACTCTTCAAAAGTAAAAACAACAGCCGGGTATGGAGGTTCATTCCTCCAATCCCAGGTACTTGGGAGGCTGAGGTGGAAGTATCTCTTGAGCCCAGGAGGTCAAGGCTGCTGTGAACTGTGATCATGCCACTGCACCATGGCCTGGGCAATAGAGGGAGACCCTATCTCAAAAAAAAAAAAAAATGTAAAAAAGACTATGTGTTCTTTATTTTGATTATTCACTTTAAGTAAATAAACATCATTCCATTTTGAGAAAAATCTATTGAGAACTTAGATATGTAATTTCCACCACCTCTTCTGCATTCTACATTTTTAACTAACAGGTTCACCTTTTTTGGCTATATATATAAAACTATATAAATATATATATAATAAATATATAAATAAATATATAAAACTATATGTATTATATATATATAAAAGTTCTAAGTCTCAATATATTGTGTATTGCCTGAGCAATGAATATGGAAAAAAGATAATAAAATCCAAAAAATAAGAATGAGAAACTTTAAAATGTCCAATTTTTATGTGTAAACATGTTATCTAAAAATGAAAGAAGTGCAGTCTTCCTTAACCTTGCCTAGAGTTACAGATGAAGGATAGGACACCAATACAACAGCATTTTAGAGGGACATGTGGCTAAAATTTATTGCTATATGAAATCAGACTATTACCCAAATTCCATAAAAAGTTATTACTAAGTAACAATTTAAGTGGTTTCTTTTGTATCTCATTTAAGTTTTCCAACACTCTTGTGAAGTAGAGAATATTATCCTCATGTCACAAATAGAGGGGCTAAGCCACAGAGAGCTTCAAAAACTAAAAATTAAACACATTTGAATTTTAACCACATAATTTTACAAGCAGTGATATACAGCAGAAAACAGGGACATGTGAAATCTTAGATAAAAAGATCTAATTACTTTATGTAAAATTCTAGGCCTAAGGACACTATACTAAGACATATTGGTCTAAAAATTCCAAAATAACAAGACAGAGCTCAAACTGTTGTTGAGACTGACTCTTCAAAAAATAAATCTTGAAGCAAAATGGAAATTGGGCAAAAAGAACCCAGTGTGCATGCCTCTTGATTCAAGGGTTCCCTAAAAAGCTGCCAAGCAAAGGTCTTCAAAGTGATCTCAGTGTAACCTTCAAAACTGTCAAAGAGTGAAATCCTATTTGATATCTAAGATAGCAACTTAACCTAAATGTACTATTTAAGGAAATTAGAAAGAGTTTCGCTGGTCAAGCACAGTATCTCCAAATAGAGCAGTGTTAATTTTTTTGTAGAATTTTTTAAAAGCCTGGAATCCAATGATTGGTAGAATTTTAGAGGTGAGTGACTTGACATCATTTGTATAGAGTGAGACTGCTGTTGAGTGGTTGGCATTCATAAGATAGTCCGTTTTTAATTGCTTGACTTTTAGAAGCGAGGAGCCCTCATTGATTGGCTGGAAGGCAAAAGTGTGTTCATTGAGGTGAGTTATTGTTACTTATTGATTAAACTGCATTAAAAATCATTCCAGTGGCTACTTATCATAAAAATAAAACTCCTACTTACTGATTAGGCATGTTAAAACTGCAATGAGGGTTGTCATGATACAGAACAATTCATCTTTTCCTAGGAATATGGTGCATATATTCCTAGGAATATGAAGATACATATTCATATTTACTGCTATTACTAATTTAGGTGCTCCATGAGATAGATATGCTATTACCCACATGTTTTGAAATGTAAAATATATACTTTTCTGAGAAGGAAGCCAACTGGTTTGACAGATTTTATTTAAATCAAAACTGTATTTATCTACTTCAGGTTGGCTTTTGAGAATACAATTGTATCTTTAACCTGTGTCATGAGTGAGTGCTTATTACATTGCTTTATTATTCTCAAGAACACTGTATAACTCTAATTAAGAAGATTTCTAAGCTGCTCCAGATACTATAAATTCATGTCATGGAATGTGATGGTTGGAAGAGTAAAATTTCCCTAGATTGAAATATTTGTTCAGCTTCCTAGTAGAAAAATGTTGTTTTTCTATTGTATCTAAAGAATAAAAACTCTCTTTTTTAGTATGGCTCATTACATTTGAAAATATTGATAATATGAGTTAAAGCCATGAAAACCTATTCAATGTATTAATACTTTTTCTATTTAAATGAGCAAAAAAACAAGATTAACTAACACTTATTTAGTTGACATCAAAGACCTTTCGAATATGTATTTTCAAGTAAGCCATTAATTTAACACTTATAATATTTACTTTTGGCAATTAAATCTACATTGCAGACTTCATTAACCTGGTTAGAGTTATTCTTCATGATAATAAATTGCATCAACAATATAGTGCAGCCTTTTAAAAATGCAAATAGATCTTCACCCAGCAATTCTAAATTAGCAGTATTAATGAGCATGTTCTAAAGAGTAATACAGAAAAAAAAAACAACAACAACCTGGAATTAGGTGTCAGAAGATCTCAGAACTAATCTCAGCACTAATACTAACTAGTTGCTTAGTTTTTCATAAGCCAATTGATCTTTCTGGACCCTCAAGATTTGAACAGTACTGCGACTAATTTTGACTACAAAAAGTTGATCTCATAACACACACACACACACACACACACACACACACACATATGTATACTATATATATATATACATATATAAAATAGTTATGTAAACATGTATAATACTGTATTAGTCTGTTCTCATGCTGCTAATAAAGACATACCCGAGACTGGGTAATTTATAAAGAAAAGCAGTTTAATTGACTCACAGTTCCACATGGCTGGGGAGGCCTCATAATCATGATGGAAGGTGAATGAGGAGCAAAGTCACATCTTACATGGTGGCAGCGGGCAAGACAGCTTGTACAGGGGAACCCCATTTACTCACAAGAATAAATCTCATGAGATTTATTCACTATCATGAGAACAGTATGGGAGAAACTGTCTCATGAATGAATTATCACCATCTGGCCCTGCTCTTGATATGTGAGGATTATTACAATTCAAGGTGAGATTTGGGTGGGGACACAGAGCCAAACCATACTAAATAGGTATATAAAACATATATGTATTTTATATATATATATAAATATGTATACCCAATCATATCATTTATATATAACAAAAATACTTATTCAATAATTTTGATTATGCAATAAAATTAGAATGTTGCAATGATAAACAATGAGAAATCGATGTGTAATTATTTTCAAAAATATTCTTACTCTCCATTTACTCTGAAAGAAAAAAAAGGATTAATTGCAAAGTCTTGGATTAATAGGCAGATGACCTCTGATATTTGAGGACATTATTTCATACACAGAATGTGCTTATCACAAAGGCAGACTCCATAGATGCTCAATTAGTGGTAATGTTGATCTGAAGAGTCAAATACAAATTCCTTAGAAAGTTATTCTCTGACTTCAATCTATATTTCCTGTATAATTTCTCACTGTTTTCTTCTGCCACTGTGTTTCAGATAAATAAATAACCAATGATTGCTCATTTGTAACTGTTCATCTGTTTGCTTTCATCATACAGTTTATTTTTATTTTTTGTAAAACAACATTTATCCCCCTCTGTACTTGTCAAGTCAAAATTGTACTTTTCATGAGGCTTCCTTTTTTCCCTAAATCAAACTAACAGCACTTTTCTTCTCCTGACTGCTAGTGAAATTATTTATAAGTATCTCATATAACTTTGACAAAGAGAGAAGATATTAATAAATAGCAACATTTATATATGACTTACTCCCTCTATTATATCTAAGCTTTCTGATTATATATAGTTATAGTCATCAACTTATAATAAAGGCAGAAGTATTTTCACATAATAACCAAATTTCAGAGAATTAACTTAATCTGTAAATACATGTTAATTATCCACTTCTATTTCTATGCAAGAAATATTCTTAATGTAAAAAAAATAGCTTAGGAGAATCCATTGGGAGTAAGTAGCTATAAAAATAATTATATACCAGATTTGCTAATGGTAGAGTCAAATAACAAGTGATGCTGGAGAGGGAGATAAGAGTTACTAATTATTAATCAGAATGATATTTTGTAGAGAAAAGTCAAAAGATAATCATTAAATTTTAAATAACAGATTTATTGATCAAGTACAGGAAGAAGTTTCTATAGCTGAAATAATGAAAAAAGTTTAATTTAATGAATTCTTATGTGAATATTTTACATTTGCTAAAGGTGCATTTTTTTCTCTGATAAAAACCACCTTTAATCTTTCCACACTAGGCTTGCAAAAGTTCTAAAAGTTGATTAAATAGTAATGGTGTAATACATCTCAAAGTACCATAACACCAAAAGAGCTGGAGTAGTGGCAAAAATTTCAGTTTGTGGCCTCCTTCAAGAACTTCTGGTAGTTTTCTTTTTTGTTTGCTTCAACCTTAAAATATTAGTTATTGATTGTGAATTCTGTAGTGGCAGAAATAACATTTTAGTAATTATTTTAAGAATAAGTGGGGTCTTATTTTGGAAAATATAAAAGCTTCACAAATTTTAATTTCTCTCATCCATTTTTCATCTCAAATTCTCTGTTAAAGAACAATATGCAATGTTAAAAACTTACCCACAAATAATTCCCTGAGGTGTGAACAAAATGCAGATCCACAGGCCTTGTGGCCACTTAATCTGATTCAATAGGCCTGATTTGGGGCCCAGGAATCTACTCCATGTTTGATTTCAATATTGTATAAGGGAAACAAGGACAGATTCTCCCTGAGGAGAATGTGGATCAAGGTCAGTCCCCAGCTACTTATGAAGTTAGTCTGTAGTGTAAATAATGCCTAACATGATTATGGAAACATAGGTTTGAAATTAACTCTACTTCATAGGCTAGCAAGACTAATGTTGCTGAGTTTAGCTTCTTCATTGGTAGAATAAGATAAAAGTACTCGCCTTTCATAGTAGGTGAAAAGTTTATAATAAGAACTTGTAAGAAATAACTCAATAAATGTTATTCATATTTTCCATTCCTAATGTAATAATATGTGTTTAGACTACTGTCAGTTATAATAACACACAATATCTCTAAAGATTAAACAGGAAGTCGGCTAACATGACCACGCTTTCATGATGTTAAGTAGAAAACCAGCACCAGGAAGTCACAGCACAGGAAGAATATATTATATTGTGAGAAAATACTGTTAGTTCAAATTTAACTGAGCAGCTTATGGCATTCTGTGATCAAGTAGAGCATATTTCCCTGCAGAGATGGCCAATCACATCAGTTGAGTAGTTGGGATGAAAACGGTAAAGACACGATTTATTTGTGATTATAAGTAAGCAAAGGAGGCATTTCTAACCACAAACCAAGGTTCTTGACAATTCAATTTATTTAAATTTTCTATTACTAAATTTTATTTATCTCTTGAGCTTAATTAATGAAGACAGAATTCTATCATGACAAAAGTAAATTATGTGAAATTTATGATTTATCTATAAATTCAAAGTTAAACTCTGTCATGTATAGGTTTTGCCCATTCTTTTTTTTTTCCCTGGAATAGATTCAGTTATATGGCATTGTGAACTAAAAAGAGGGGCACAACCCTTCATTATTCTCACTGTAGACCTCTCATTGAGGTGGACAGTCCTTTGGATTAACCTTTGATCAGCTAATCTCTTAGTACTACTGATATCATTGGAGGTGGCTTCAAGTTCCTATTATCATGTGCACTTAGACAAACTTGTCTCCATTTGCCCTCTGGTATGCAGGTTCTCCTCGTTATAACTACAAGGCTGTCTAAAAGCATGTGACATCTCCCTGTCAGCCAATATCTAAACTGGGAGACCAAGGAACCACGGTGACCCTGAGCTTAGCTATAGTGATTGCTTCTCTTCCAATTCAGGGGAATGTGCATAGTCTTACAGAAAGCAACAAGGACTGTCTGAGCCTCCTTTAGACACCACCAGAAGGAACTTCCCTGTGATTTAGGAAGAGGATCTTCACCAGGTCTTTGAGACACTACTGATTTCTATTTATTTGTCTATTGTTTATTTCTACTTATTTGTCTCTCCTTTTCACTCTCTCTACACAGTCAGAGAGTAAGCATTCACTTACTCTGAAGAATACCCCATGAGTGCCAGTATAGGAAAAATCTCAAGTAAATAAATATTTTATGCTGACCTGTATTCTGCTATGCCTATTGATATATTAGGACTTTGCCTTAAGAATGCTAAAAAGCCTTTTCTATAAGATTGCTTTCTCTCTATTCCCTTGGTCTTGAAATTCTAGAGTTTATTTGGAAACTTTGTTATTCTTATCTCTGAAATATTAATCATCTTCTCATCTAGTGGCATTCCTACATCAGTCAAAACTTCAAATAACACAAGTTCCAGTTACCTTTGCAGTTACCAAAGTTCAGAATCTTGAAAATGTCCAGATTAATTACCCTCTTACTCTACATAATAATGAAGCTGTTTTATAAGTAATTTTTAAACTGATTCATTTGTTTTACCACAAACTAGAAAGATAGAAACAATAATGATAAAATAACAATGTGGTAGGATAACAATAGTGGCAATGGTGTAAAAATGTTAATACATTGAGTACACATGTATGGTTTATTTGTCCATTCTCACACTACTGTAAAGATACTACCTGAGACTGTGTAATTTACAAAGAAAAGAGGTTGAATTGACTCATACTTCTGCATGGCTGAGGAGGCACCAGGAAGCTTAAAGTCAAGGCAGAAGGCAAAGGGGAATCAAGGCATGTGTTACATGGCAGCAGGAGAGCGAAATGTACAGAGGAAATACCAGGCACTTATCAAACAACCAGATCTCTTGAGAACTCCTTCAGCATTATGAGAACAGCATGGGGGAAAGCTCCCCCATGTTCGAATCACCTCCCACCAGACCCCTCCCTTGACATGTGGGGATTACAGTTTGAGATAAGATTTGAGTGGGGACACAGAGCCAAATCATATCATATGGTAAATATTTTTCTAAGTGATTTATATAAATAAGCCCTGGAGTTTTACACAATCTTATGAGATAGGAATTGTTAATATTACCTTTTAAAGATGATGAAATCAAATCAAAACAGTTAAGTAATTTGTCCAAGATTAGTCAGCTAACAAGCAAAATTAGAAGAGCTGACCCTGGCAGTCTGGGTCGTAATTCATTACGACCTGTGCCTGTGGACGTAATTCATTACTTTATACTTTTTCCATAACCTCATCATCCAGTCCCACATCATGCAATTAGATACAAACGAGTTTCTGTAATGTTTATCTACTAACTGTATCACCTTTGACAAATTACTAATTATTCTCTGCTTCAGTTTTCTCATCTGTAAAAAAGGAATAATAGTACCTTTTTAAAAGACTTTTCTTAAATTATCTGAAATAATTTACTCAATTATAAAATAGAAAAGAGAAGACAATTGTCAAAGACAAATGAAAACAAACACTAGTTAAAGTGGTAAGAAGAGATTTCATTCAGTAATACATCATTGCAAAAGAGAAGATGGTCCAATATGAACTGAACTCAACTTCAATGTCTACAGTGGTGACTAGGCATTTCCAAGAGAGAATAAGGGGAGTAGGGAGGAGTGTGAGCAGGAGCTCAGTAGTCAAGTGAAAAATTACAAAGTATTGGTTCATATCTAAATGCAATTTGTCCAGTTGTGTCTGCCAGCAGGTAATTATCAAAGTTAGGATTCTGTTCTCCCACAGAGACCGGGAACTGGCAGCCTCATCCTTCCTAATGATTAAACATCAAATGAATGGTTTTTCAGATTCTTGAGAAAGACATTCTTGAGTTTTAAGAGTTGTATATACATTTCGGAGGGACAGAAGAAGGATTCACAATTTACTAAAACCTTTTTAGTAAATGCTCTGGAAAAGGGGATAAGGGGCCTATTATCAGGTGTTCATAAGAACAAGCAATAAATTATGTTGACATTCCCAAGCTTTCCCAGACAGTAACTCAAAAAGGAGGCTGGGTTGTCCTAAAAATGTGGCCTTAGGCTCCTAGAAACGGTTGATAAAGTATTTTAATTTGTGTATGATGAGTGACAGAGAAAGGTGGAGAGGTGTTGTTTAACAACACACAAAAAGTTATAAGAGTACAGTCACTTGATATTCTAATTTATTTTTAATTTCTATTTTATAAGTATCATTTTTGATAGCTTAACTTGTGTTAGGCACTGGGTTAAGCATTTTTTGTAGATCCAAATACAAATCTATGAGTATGTAATCCAAGAACAAAATTCTAAGCCTCACAACCAACTGAATGAACTCCTCTTGGCCACAGGCATTCTAAAGTAAACCCGAAACACTAGTTCAGGCCATGATGGGAATAGGTGGTCGGACATGCCTTATTATGCCTTCCTCTCATTGGAATTCTGGCACAGCTGACCAGTGTTAACATTAAAACAGAGACCTAAACTAACAGAACAGACTAGTGTTGAAAAAAAAAAAAAAAAACTTCTGCTGAATTAAATTTAGAAGAGTTTAATATTTAATTGAGCAATGAAAAATTCACAAATCCAACAGACCCCAGAATCATAGTGGATTCAGAGAGAATCCAGTGCTGCCGCATGTTGGAAGAAGATTTATAGAAGAAAAAAAACAAAAAGGAAATGATGTACAGAAATTGGAAGTGAGGTACAGAAACAACTGGATTGGTTACAGCTTGGCATTTGCGTTATTTGAATACAGTTCAAGTAGTTGGCTACATTCAATTGGACAAAATTCAGTGATTGGCATGGGTGTGAGCTATGGTCAGTTTGAACCTCCACTTGTTATAGTTCACGATGTACAACAAAACGTTTAGGCTGAGCTTAAATATGTACAGAGGCAGCTTTAGGTTAATACAGATTAACAATTTCCCGTTTTGGTCATTTTCTCAATTTTGAGAGATTGACCAAAATTTTAGTCATTGATGTTACTGCTACCATTGGTCTTTTTTTTTTTTGTTTATACTTTAAGTTTTAGGGTACCTGTGCACAACGTGCAGGTTAGTTACATATGTATACATGTGCCATGTTGGTGTGCTGCAACCAGTAACTCGTCACTTAACATTAGGTATATCTCCTAATGCTATCCCTCCCCGCTCCCCACACCCCACAACAGGTCCTGGTGTGTGATGTTCCCCTTCCTGTGTCCATGTGTTCTCATTGTTCAATTCCCACCTATGAGTGAGAACATGCGGTGTTTGGTTTTCTGTCCTTGCGATAGTTTGCTGAGAATGATGGTTTCCAGCTTCATCCATGTCCCTACAAAGGACATGAACTCATCATTTTTTATGGCTGCATAGTATTCCATGGTGTATATGTGCCACATTTTCTTAATCCAGTCTATCATTGTTGGACATTTGGGTTGGTTCCAAGTCTTTGCTATTGTGAATAGTGCTGCAATAAACATATGTGTACATATGTCTTTATAGCAGCATGATTTATAATCCTTTGTGTATATACCCAGTAATGGGATGGCTGGGTCAAATGGTATTTCTAGTTCTAGATCCTTGAGGAATCACCACACTGACTTCCACAATGGTTGAACTAGTTTACAGTCCCACCAACAATGTAAAAGTGTCCCTATTTCTCCACATCCTCTCCAGCACCTGTTGTTTCCTGACTTTTTAATGATGGCCATTCTAACTGGTGTGAGATGGTATCTCATTGTGGTTTTGATTTGCATTTCTCTGATGGCCAGTGATGATGAGCATTTTTTCATGTGTCTTTTGGCTGCATAAATGTCTTCTTTTGAGAAGTGTCTGTTCATATCCTTCACCCACTTTTTGATGGGTTTGTTTGTTTTTTTCTTGTAAATTTGTTTCAAAAGCTAGCAGAAGGCAAGAAATAAGTAAGATCAGAGCAGAACTGAAGGAAATAGAGACACAAAAATCCCTTCAAAAAATCAATGAATCCAGGAGCTGGTTTTTTGAAAAGACCAACAAAATTGATAGACCGCTAGCAAGACTAATAAAGAAGAAAAGAGAGAAGAATCAAATAGATGCAATACAAAATGATAAAGGGGATATCACCACCGATCCCACAGAAATACAAACTACCATCAGAGAATACTATAAACACCTCTACGCAAATAAACTAGAAAATCTAGAAGAAATGGATAAATTCCTCGACACATACATCCTACCAAGACTAAACCAGGAAGAAGTTGAATCTCTGAATAGACCAATAACAGGCTCTGAAATTGAGGCAATAATTAATAGCTTACCAACCAAAAAAAGTCCAGGACCAGACAGATTCACAGCTGAATTTTACCAGAGGTACAAGGAGGAGCTGGTACCATTCCTTCTGAAACTATTCCAATCAATAGAAAAAGAGGGAATCCTCCCTAACTCATTTTATGAGGCCAACATCATCCTGATACCAAAGCTTGGCAGACACACAACAAAAAATGAGAATTTTAGACCCATATCCCTGATGAACATCAATGCAAAAATCCTCAGTAAAATACTGGCAAACTGCATCCAGCAGGACATCAAAAAGCTTATCCACCATGATCAAGTGGGCTTCATCCCTGGGATGCAAGGCTGGTTCAACATACACAAATCAATAAATGTAATCCAGCATATAAACAGAACCAACGACAAAAACCATATGATTATCTCAATAGATGCAGAAAAGGCCTTTGACAAAATTCAACAACCTTTCATGCTAAAAACTCTCAATAAATTAGGTATTGAGGGGACGTATCTCAAAATAAGAGCTATTTATGACAAACCCACAACCAATATCATACTGAATGGGCAAAAACTGGAAGCATTCCCTCTGAAAACTTGCACAAGACAGGGATGCCCTCTCTCACCACTCCTATTCAACGTAGTGTTGGAAGTTCTGGCCAGAGCAATCAGACAGGAGAAGGAAATAAAGTGTATTCAATTAGTAAAAGAGGAAGTCAAATTGTCCCTGTTTGCAGATGACATGATTGTGTATCTAGAAAAACCCATCGTCTCAGCCCAAAATCTCCTTAAGCTTATAGGCAACTTCAGCAAAGTCTCAGGATACAAAATCAATGTGCAAAAATCACAAGCATTCTTATACAGCAATAACAGACAAACAGAGAGCCAAATCATGAGTGAACTTCCATTCACAATTGCTTCAAAGATAATAAAATACCTAGGAATCCAACTTACAAGGGATGTGAACGACCTCTTCAAGGAGAACTACAAACCTCTGCTCAATGAAATAAAAGAGGATACAAACAAATGGAAGAACATTCCATGCTCATGGGTATGAAGAATCAATATCATGAAAATGGCCATACTGCCCAAGGTAATTGATAGATTCAATGCCATCCCCATCAAGCTACCAATGACTTTCTTCACAGAATTGGAAAAAACTACTTTAAAGTTCATATGGAACCAAAAAAGAGCCCGCATTGCCAAGTCAATCCTAAGCCAAAAGAACAAAGCTGGAGGCATCACACTACCTGACTTCAAACTATACTACAAGGCTACAGTAACCAAAACAGCATGGTACTGGTACCAAAACAGAGATATAGACCAATGGAACAGAACAGAGCCCTCAGAAATAATGCCGCATATCTACAACCATCAGATCTTTGACAAACCTGATAAAAACAAGCAATGGGGAAATGATTCCCTATTTAATAAATGGTGCTGGGAAAACTGGCTAGCCATATGTAGAAAGCTGAAACTGGATCCCTTCATTATGCCTTATACAAAAATTAATTCAAGATGGATTAAAGACTTACATGTTAGACCTAAAACCATAAAAACCCTAGAAGAAAACCTAGGCAATACCATTCAGGACATAGGCATGGGCAAGGACTTCATGTCTAAAACACCGAAAGCAATGGCAACAAAAGCCAAAATTGACAAATGGCATCTAATTAAACTAAAGAGCTTCTGCACAGCAAAAGAAACTACCATCAGAGTGAACAGGCAACCTACAGAATGGGAGAAAATTTTTGCAATCTACTCATCTGACAAAGGGCTAATATCCAGAATCTACCACTGGTCTTGAAAGACTCTCAGAAACAGTAGAACTGTGGGTTCTGTAAAGTGGAAATAAGGACTGAGTACAGCGTACCTCGTTATGCTGGAGCATCCTGTTTGCAGAAGAAAAACAAAACCTGGTCTCTTCTAAGATCTATGTGTTTCCTTAAATTCTTAGTTTAATTATCTGGCATTTACCGTGGGTGACTCCATTTTGGTTTGGTTTGGTCTGTTGAGGCCTAGTGCGTGAGCTCAGTCCAAAACAATGCAACCTATAATTTTGATTTAAAAATTCCCCTTTTCATCAGGTTCTCACTCAGTTGAGAGTGTGACCAAAACTTAGGGCCTTAGTGCCACTCTCAGTTGCCATCATTTTGGGATTCGAATCTCAGTATGTTATTCATAGGTTACGGTGTCCTCATTCTCACACATTTCTTTTAGCTTTTGTAATTGCAGTTGAAGAGAGACCATTTGACATTCTAGAGATGACTTCATGCAAACATTTAAGACCTTTCAGAGAATACAGCACACCAGGGATACTACTATTATGACTATGGGGAAGATAATACCAAGAATTTGGAGTATGTTCATTACCCAGGGTCCCCATAAGCCAAACCATTTTAAATAAATCAAAGAATGAGCTAGATAACTAAACAGTCTCTTCATTAATCCCCTACAACTCAATCTCTATAACCTACATTTGATGTATTTCTTTATAGGCCAAAACTGTCAGTGGCTGCACAGATGCCTTGCTGTTTAGACAATTATATTCTTTAGAATAACTTTCACAAATAATTTAAAGTCTGTTGTTGTGCATCCATAGCCTTTATAGTAGAATCTGCTAAAGGGGCTATCGTGATGCATACATTTCTTTTATTATTATTATTATTATTATTATTAATTGATTTTTAAAATTATACTTTAAGTTATGGGGTACATGTGCACAATGTGCAGGTTTATTCCATAGGTATACATGTGTCATGTTGGTTTCTGCACCCATCAACTCGTCTTTTACAGTAGCTATTTCTCCTAATGCTATCCCTCCCCAACACCTCCACCCCCCAACAGGCCCAGTGTGTGATGTTCCCCTCCCTGTGACCATGTGTTCTCATTGTTCAACTCCCACTTGTGAATGAGAACATGCAGTGTTTGGTTTTCTGTCCTTATGATAGTTTGCTGAGAATGATGGTTTCCAGCTTCATCCATGTCCCTGCAAAGGATATGAACTCATCCTTTTTTATGGCTTCATAGTATTCCGTGCTGTACATGTGCCACATTTTCTTTATCCAGTCTATTATTGATGGACATTAGGGTTGGTTCCAAGACTTTGCTATTGTGAATAATGCTGCAATAAACATATGTGAGCATGTGTCTTTATAGCGCATGATTTATAATCCTTTGGGTAGATATCCAGTAATGTGTAGGGATTCCTCAAGGATGAGGGATACATTTCTAATCATTGCCTCTTTTACTCCAAATCATGGAAAGAGGAGGACCTAACAAATAATGCCCTTCTAGAAGAGTGAAGACCTCCTGGCAAAGTTCTCTTTAACCCATGATGTGAGTTAAGAGGAGTAAACCAACATTCTGTTTCTGACTGATTATGAGGCAACATATGTATCATTTAAGTTTCTTACCTACATTGGGCCTTCATTTTTCATTTATCAAGGTATAAAGTTATCCATGTATAAGGCTGGCTGCAAATTCCCTCACAAACAAAAGTGCACTGCTTAAGTGTACACAGCATACCCCCTTTTCACTTCTATTATTTATAGAGACATAAGCAAGAAAAAGATATTCAAAATAAGAGCCTCATGATAGTAGAAAAGTCTTGATCTGTGATCTTGGGAAAGCTGTTTACATCAAGGATGCCATCTTCTTCTGGGGAGAAACTTCCCTGGTTAGCTTTATCTTAAGTGTACCAATGGCTATACAGTTTCAAGAGTGTGAAGGGACCCTTCTCAGTTGTGAGAATATGAACTCAAAGTTCAAGTTCCTGAAGTTTTGTTGCAGTATGGATGGCAAGGGCAGTCTTCCTCTGACGTTCTCAGAAGTTCCAATCTTTGGGTTTTAGATTGTGAAGGGGTTGATTGTCCTCAATGCACCATAAAAAACTTTCTTTACCTGTTGAAAATACACAGTGGCAGAATAGTCTAGTGTTATAACATCATCCTTCTTGCATGGGAAACCTTTTATACAACAACAACCAAAAAAACAGGTATTGGAAACGACAATTGATTGAGATACTACTTAGTCCAGGGCCTGGTAGTAGTCACTGTATGTCTTGGGTCTGGCATTGTTCAATCCAGATGTTAGATGGGACAGAAAGAATAACCCAGAACCCTGGAACAAACTGAGTCTCAACAATCAATACAACTTCTATTCAGTGAATGTGCATTACAGCAAACTGAAGAAAGAAGGTCCAGATTTCTAACTGAAGTATTTCACTGCTGCTTTAGAATGAATGTCTTCTGGAAGCCATCCACAAATTTTCCCACTTAACCAGGAAATATTTCTCCAATGAATGCATAAAATCATGTTGATGTAATGTGTTGGAGAGTACACTGATAAATAAATAATTGAAACTTGAAAATAAAAAAAGAAAATGATAGTTGAATAAAATTCCTTTATAAATGTTTAAAGGGCCCATCAGGTAGTGAAATTTATGAGAAGCTTTGATTGTCTTTCCAGGAATACAGGTATGACAAACTAGCATTGGTTATAAACTAGTTTAGCGATTTATAATTGTCTCCAAAGTAGGTAAATTGAAATTTTTTTAAAGTCAAAGCAATTTGTGACCTTAAAGCATTTAGTAAACCTAATATCTGACCTGCCTAATTTAGACCAAATGTCTTTATTTTACCAATAGTTTTAAAGCTGCTTTTATTTCCAAAAGATTACCAAAGTTACATGAACTAAAAGACACCAATGTTTTAATTTTTCTTCAAAGTATTTGATTTAAGCACTTATTTTTCTTTAAGCCAATTAACTGTAGCTCTTTTATATAAACATCACATACACAATACATGTATAACTACACAGACAGGCAGAAGAAGATCCAGTAGTTGTAAGATTTTTTTATTTTCCACTTTCTTAATTGGCCTCAGGATGGAGCCCTTCAATAAACAGGGCTAGTAAAACATGCAGTTTCTAAAGCTAGCAAGCAGGTACAGCTGGAAGAGAAAAACAGATCTTAGACCCCCCAAAAAGAGGGAAATGCCATGGGAGAAGACAGTGCAATGCTTTTACTGTGCATTTTATTGCATGGCAACCCAAAGCCAATCAGCACATTTTGCAATCAGCCCATTTCTAAAACTGTATTTCCTACCTATTTATTACACACTAAAGCTCTCTTATAATGAAAAGTAATCTCTGATAATCCTGTGAAAGAAAAATAAATCTTGGAAATCTTGGGGTCCCAAAATCACTAAGCTGAAAGGAAAAGTCAAACTGGGAACTGCTTAGAGCAAACCTGCCTCCCAACCTATTCAAAGTCATCCCTCTGCTCGCTGAGAGAAATGCGTATGTGATCACCTCATTTGGAAAGGCTAATCAGACACTCAAAAAATTGCAATCATTTTTCTCTCATCTACCTGTACCTGGAAGACCCCTCCCTGCTTATATTGATTGATGTCTCCTGTCTTGTTAAAATGTAGAAAACCAAACTGTGCCCCAACCACGTTGAGCACATGTTGTCAGGACCTCCTGAGGCTGTGTCATGGGCATATGTCCTCAACCTTGTCAAAATAAACTTTCTAAATTAACTGAGACCTCTCTCAGATTATCAGGGGTCACACCCACCAAAGTAAAAAACGTCAGATAACACAATGCAAAACAGAACAGAGAGTTAGACTTTGAGAGAGATCTATTGACTTTCAATTCTTGGGTTTTCCTGAGGAAAACAGAGGTTTTTCCAAAAACAGGGTTTGTGGCAATTCCTCTGTTTTTCCCAAGGAGTCCCAGGCCATCGGAAGTTATCTTAGGTCCTCTCATGTGTGCATTAAGGGTGGCAAGACAAAATAATTTAGTTGATTGAGAAGAAAAAATCTTTTTCCAAAAAAAGGACAATATCCAAGAAGAGAAAAAACAAACGACTTTTAAAGGTACCTATAGCTTGGATACCCACTTTTAATTAAGCTGACTTTCAACCATAGCCCTCTTTAAAAAATCATTTTAAATTTCTTATTACTCGCCTTTAGCCAGGCCAAGCAGCCAATATTCTGGCTTTTAAACTTTACCAAAAGTAATCTCACAGGTGAAACCAACAAGCCTCAACTAAGGTTATGACTTAAACATGAGAGATGTATTTCCAAAGGGGTGGTAAGCAGTTTTTGCAAAATCTGGAATCTTTAGAGGTAGCTCAGAGAAAGGAAGATATAAGAAAGGAAGCCAGAAGGTATTCAAGGAAGGAAGAGAGTAAGCAAGTGGTACAAGTCACAAAGATATTAACCAAAAAGTACTAATTTTTCTTAAGCCAGTATTGAACCTGTGCCACCATTGTAAAATGGCAGAGACCAAAAGAAAGTACTGCCACATGGTTACAAAGTCAAGCTACCAAGGACATAAAGCAAGATGGAGACCTCATCCAATTTTTGTTTGTTTCTTTGGTTTTCAGAGTACTGTGGCAAAGTTTGTAACTGACCAGTTTTCTAGGCTGGCTTGAAGAGTGGGCTAATGGGGTCCTAAGCCCTCATTCTGTCCTAAGGCACCCCTCTTCATGAGAGAACAATACACAAACACAAATAAAGCACACCATATTCATTACAGCTTAAGACTAGCCTCACACATTCTTTTTCCCATTAATTAAAACATCAGAGAAGAGATAAACAGTGATTTTTTTTTACTATTTATTGAACTGGTTTGCACAGAGAGAGAGAGTCCAGAAGTCTGACTGGTAAGAAATTCTTACCTATTTGCCTGCATGTCAGATTTCTGTGTTCCCCTTCCCTGAGCAGCCCTAGTGACCCTACTTATCACAGCATGGCTCCAGGGCCCAAGCCACATTACAAAGTGAAATCATGGAACCACAGGAAAAATCCTCTCTATTTTGCAAGTTGCCACCCACCCAGCTGCATGGGGGACCTGAATTTTAATATTTTCCATTCTGGCCAGAATAAAATAAGAGTGATTTAAATAAAAATGTTGAAATCTATTTAGAAGCTCAAGAATCAACATCCCTACAGGAGACTAATTTGGAAGTCCTCTTTTTTTTTTTTGTTTAATGCACTTCAGTGCATTGTTGTTCATTTGGAATGTTCTGCTCCTAGTTATATTTATGAGATTTCACCATTTCTCTAGGACTTTGCTGCTTCCTGGGCCTAATGTATAAGCTGGAAGAAACTCAGTTTTTTGGAAATTAAGGATCCCATTTCCATTTTTACCTAAAACATTGGCTTTGTTCTCAGGTTCCCTTGATTAATTTAGCCAATGATTTTTTTTTTAAGCACTCAAGAAAAATGAAACAAAGGGGTAGAACGCAAAAATCCAGGTGAATTTTTAAAAGCCAAATTTTACAATCCCTGCAATATTACCATTTACTACCAGCTTCTTTCTCACCCAGTAAGATGTTAGAGGCCTCTAACTGGATCCAAGCCAGTTAATTACCAGATCAAATTTAATTCTGGACCCAGTCCAGTTCCTATCGCAACTTCCAAACCCAGTTTGGGATCAGAAATTTGCTCAAAGAAACTCAAAGTACTCAAAACACAAATCTGTGGAGCTCCAAAATCTAAGAGAGGATTTATTCATGATCTGAAGACATTCAGAGATTAAGGGACACAAGTAGGTCCTTGAAGGTACCTTGCTTATTCACTCACCACTCCTGGGGGCTGCTAGAAGCTGTACTTCGGATCCCATTTCTAACACCAGCTGTTAAAATAAAAACTTTAGCTGAATTAAATTTAAAGGAGTCTAATTAAGCAATGAATGCTTCATGAATCAAGAAGCTCCCAGAATCACAGGAGATTCAGAGACTCCAGTGCAGCCATGTGTTGGAAAAAAAATTTATGGACAAAAAAAGGGAAATGATGTACAGAAATTGAAAGTGAGGTACAGAAACAACTGGATAGATTACAGCTTGGTGTCTGCCTTATTTAAAAATGGTTCAAAAAGCTGGCTACATTTGGTTGGCCGAAACTCAGTGATTGGGCTACAGTTGGTTTACACCTCCACTTGTTGTAGTTCATGATGTACAGAAAAACCTTTAGACCAAACTCAAGCATGTGAGGAAACAGCTTTGGCTAAACTTGATTAACAGTAGCAATAAGATACCAGCATAACACCAGGCCCTGAAAGAGTTTACAGTATTTTACCCCAAATGTAGTTCTTTGACATATTTTGAAATGGCCTAGCAAAGCTGTCTTTTGTGGAGAAAATCTACATTCTATAGATAATCCACTTATTTTTCCAGGTCTTTCTCCTAATCCAGGAGAGAATTAGCTATGAGTCTGGCATCTTTTTAACTCCAATAAGAAAGATTTACAATCTATTCTCTCCGAAGCTTGCTACCTGGAGACTTCATCTGCATAATAAGAATCTTGGTCTCCACAACCTCTTCTCTTAACCCAGAAACTCCATTCTATTGATTCCAAGTCTTTCGAGACTATTTCAACCCACTGCCAATCAGAAAATCTTTGAATTCACTTATGCCCTGGAAACCCTCCCTGCTACACTTGCACACTTTGAGTTGTCCCACCTTTCTGGACTGAATCAATGTATATTGTATTTATTGATGTCTTATGTCTCCCTAATATGTATAAAGCCAAGCTTAGCCTGACCACCTCAGGCACATGTTCTCAGGATCTCCTGGTGCTGTGTCATGGACCATGGTCACTCATATTTGGCTTAGAATAAAACTCTTTAAATAGCTTACAGAATTTTTTGTAAACTTTCTGTAAACTTTTCTTCCAACAAATGGTAATGAAGATTCTCACTTTGACCAAACTCTAGTCAGGCTCCTCTGAGCCCTTTTCTCAATTAGGCCTTAACTCTGGACTTTTTATAAAAACTGCAGATGTTCAGCAGAAATTATTTTGTTTCATTCCCTCTTCTACGTATGGAATCTGATACCCTGCAGGTGTAGGCTAACCCTCCAGTTACTATCTGGCAGGTTAAGGCAGCCAGCCTAAGAAGTAAACGGTTGAATGTGGCAATAGCCTACTTGAAAAAAATGTACATGTCATAGACTCAGAAATCTCGTGAGAGGTTACTTTCAAAAGGAGAATTTTCAATAATCTTGATTAATTATTCTTTTTTCATTTAATCTTGGTTCAACTTTTAGTGAGTTTCTCAGAATTTGCTCTTTTAACAAAATGTTTGTTTTTAAAAATACCTGCTTGAAGATTAGCTCTTACTAACATAAATACAATACTGAGGATATATATCTACTGACAAATTAAAACAAAGGATAGATGTGAAAGTAAAGGTTTTGAATTTTTAGGAATTTCTCCAAAGGCAGGGTTTCTATAATAATTTATCTTGGCTTATCACTGAGAAAAAAATGCTTCTTTATTATAGCTATTGTTTGGAAAGTAGAGAGGGCACAAAAAAATATTTTAAGGATTCACTGAAGCACAGCTTCAAACAAAATAGCTACTTGGTACCTGCTGGGAAACAAAGTCTCAGACAAACCAGCCTGGCAGGTAGCATTGAGGAGTCAAATAGTTGTTTCCCAGTATTACCTTCAGGAAGAATGCAAGGGTAGGAGGTTGAGTGTCAAACAACAGACTCTGGCAACAAACTAATGGACACTTTCATAAACATACAAAGGGTACGATATTGTTGCTTCCACATTAAATTTTTTCAGTAATGTTTTACCCCAATACACACTGATAATTACATCTGTTTATAAGTATCACAAACATGTAGCTACCATATACAACGTACATTCACCCAAATGGAAAATAATGGTGGGAAAGTGGAAGACATTTCCTCAGGAATTAGACCAGAAAATATCATAGTCACACTGGTATGGCTAGAAATTTCACTCCTTGTAACGTTCCTAAGTATTTAATTCAGAAATTTCTATTTTTTCTTTTATTATTATTATTATTATTATTATTATTATTATTATTATTATTATTATTTTTGAGACGGATTCTCCCCTTTCGCCCAGGCCAGAGTGCAGTGGCGCGATCTCGGCTCACTGCAAGCTCCTCCTCCCGGGTTCACGCCATTCTCCCGCCTCAGCCTCCCGAGTAGCTGGGACTACAGGCGCCCACCACCAAGCCCGGCTAATTTTTTTTTGTATTTTTAGTAGAGACAGGGTTTCACCGTGTTAGCCAGGATGATCTCGATCTCCTGACCTCGTGATCCACCCGTCTCGGCTTCCCAAAGTCCTGGGATTACAGGAGTGAGCCACCACCCCCAGCCTTTTTTCTTTTATTGTTTTTTAGTATTAGTTTTTGAGACCCTGTTTTGCTCTGCCACCCAGGCTGGAGTGCCGTGGGTTGATCATGGCTCACTGGAGCCTCGATCTGCTGAACTCAAGCAATCCTCCAATCTCGGCTACCCTAGTAGCTGGGACTACAGGTGGGCCACCATGCCTGGCTATTTTTTGTACAGATAGGGTTTTGCCATGTTGCCAGGCTGGTTTTGAACTCCTGGGTTCAAGCAATCTACCTGCCTTGACCTCCCAAAGTGCTGAGATTACAGGCATGAACCACCATGCTGGGTTCCTTTTTTAGAAATGTATCATGAGACAACTGGATTTTCACTTACCATTATGATGCTGCAGGAGCCCAGTCATTAATCTTCATTAGCTCATTATAGTCAAGCATCTTCTGTCTGTAACCTGAGTGTTGCAGAAGTCAAATAAAAATCAAACAACTGTGTTATATATTCCCACAGCACAATTCATCCTTCTTCTTTCTCTCTCCCCCATTTTTCTCCAACTTTGTTAATGCACAAACTTTGAGCCTTTGGCGAGATCTTAGGAATCAGTAAGGTCTCAAGTTCTAATAAAAGTAGAACATTTTTCAATGACATGTACAACTTGCTTTCTCTTCCACTCTCATATCATTCTTCATTTGTAAAAAAATTAAATAAAATAATACAATTTAATAACTTTCACACCATTATCAAATTCCTCACTTCTAGGTCACATTCCCTTTATGTCTCCCTGCACTAATCGATCAAGTTTTTCACTGTTTTTTAACAGTTTGCTACATTTTTCTCTTCTCTGATTTTGTGTGCATTATGAATCTAATATAGACAATTTACCCCATAGTGCTACTTACCATAGACAAACATTGCAGTACTATCTTCAAGGCCTTCTTCTCTAGTAAAATGTTCCTGATTCTCTTATCTATATATGATCTCACCCTTTTAGACTTTCATAGCAAGCCCTGTATTAGTCGCACTCTTGTGTGTCACCTCTCTCTTGCATGTTGTACATGGTATCCTAATCACAGAACGGGCAAAACCACTTTTTTAATTAAAAACTAAGTTTTAGAATAAATTATGAAGTATCATTAGAAGCTGTCCTGACTCTCAGTCATGATGGAAGCCATGTTGCAGTAACAGGAAAAACTCAAATCCTGCTATGGAATCATTTCCAATGCTGGCCAGCTGTGGTAGGTAGAAAATAAATTATTAAACATTCTCAAATACTTGAATAAAATTGTGACAAGTTTCCTAATACCCGGAATTTCCATGTTAGACATGTCTAGTCCTTTATCATGCGAATTGATTTCTCTTAAACATATTCTACTTTTTCTATATCTAGAATGACCCTATATTCATCATTTAAAGCAGAACACTATTGAAAATGAAAAAGGCCACTGTTAGTGATTATTTCCTAAAACAGATATAAATATAAAATAGGACTTTCCCAGGCAAATCAGTATCTATATCTCTCTCAAAATGATATGCCTAGAACTTAACATGGTTTTCCATTGTGATCTATTAGACAGTAAAATGTATCATCTTCACTCCAATATCACATAATATCAACTTAGATATTTGGCCACCATAGTACATCATTCCTTCATTCATTTATTCACAATATTCAGTGAGCTTTTTATCAACTAAAATTGCTGGATAATTTTTAATGAATTTCTACTTACCTCATCCTCTACTTACAAGTGTGGTTTCTTAGACCCAAGTGACCTTTCAAAACATGTATTTGCTAAATGTTTGAAACAGAACAAAATCAAAGATTTTGATCACTCCATTGTAAAATTTATTCCAAGAGGCCAATAATGAAACAGAGAGTTTAGTGTGTGAGCAGCTATATAAATTGTACAAAGTCACAGGGATATAACTGAGATAACACAAAGGACATCAAATTCTCATCATATTTTTAATTCCCTCTTCTTTATTAGACATTGTACTTCAAAGTTCTGAAAGACAATTTGTTTGGGAACACCCTGAACAAAGACACATGGTTGGATTGTCAAATGAGACTCACACAAATTAGAAAATTTATTTTATATTAAACTTTACCAATAAACTCAAGTGCACATGAAATTGAATAAGATTATGTATATATATGTAATCATTTACCCAGAAGCTTTCTAGGTCCTTTCTTCTCACATTAGGACAGATTCTGGTCAAGATTTAACAATCAATGACTGTAAGAAATGTATGCAGCCATTACTTGCACATAAGTAAGCTGTTTATTCACAAAACTTCGTTGTATACTGTAACAGTTACAGGTTACATGATATTTCTTATAAAGTCATACTCCATGAATCGATGGATTTCGGGTTTCTTCACCATAAGCAATTCTCAAGAGACCAGGGTTATCTTGCTAAAGCATTCTATATGCAGATACGTCCACCACAACATACCAACAATGTATTTGGCAAGGAAATTTGATTGGGTCACTTCTCTTTGCAGAGAATCTCCCAGTAAATGAAGAGAGTAGATTACAGGCAAGCTGCTAATCTCTTTCTATCAAATACTGGGTGAGGTCATAAAAAGTGATTTTTGTCTTAGTGGTTTAGCAGGGCATCTTCTCAAGAGCAGCTGTGAGTTTCTTGGTTAGATTCCTGTTTAGTATATAGTCATGAAGTTTAGCCATAGAAGCCTTTGATGAGTGACTCCTTCATTTGCATTTAGAATCTGGGATGTAAGTAAAGATGATCATTAGATTTTCATGCTTTTTAATTAGACACACTAAAATCAGTAAAACTAGTTCTCTCTCTAAATTTATTAATACTTTAAATTTTCTTAATTGTCTCTACCTTCATTAATGGATATACCCTTACATTCTATTTGAAGGAAAGTCATTTTCTCTCACCCAATGTATATTTCTTTTACCTTGTTTTTTGAGGTTGACAATTGGTGAATTAGCTTTGTCATTCAGGAGTGTGTTTAAAGGTTTAGGAGACTGATATCCAAATTAACATAACTTCCAAGAACAATTTAAAATTTCACAGGAAAGGCAATTCTAGTGAAATTTCCAGAAATTTAATTGCAATTAATTTTGCAACTGACTGAACACATATATTCCCAATAAATAAAATGATTACAGATATTTATACTTTTAGATTTGTTAGTATTTTGCTTGGAGTAATTTTAAGACATTCGAAGATGAAAACCAATGAACAGTCTACCAATCATATTATCCAATTGTTCTAATTGTACTCTATTTCATGCTGTGTAATAACAAAGAACCCAGCCTCCAGAAATATTACTTGTTTTTTTCTTCATATCACCTTAAAACGATGATCATGGAAGGCTTTACTTTTTCACTATAGGCCACTAACTATAATGTCAAAATACTGCCTATCTAATGTAAAGAAGGCTAAAATTTGCTTGAAATCTTGATACACAATTTTGACTTCTCTGCATTCAGAATTGCTATAAAAACCACTCCCATTATGACTATGTGTTTTGAATTTGAAAAATCATCTTATATTTATACAAAGATAATTAGAAATGTACAAAGGCAAATTGAAAGCCTACTCCAACTCTGCCAGTTACTTTCCTCCTTTTCTTCTTTCTTACATTTCTACCAAAAATTTACATGTTCTTTATAACAATTCAAACATATATAACTCTGCTCTGATACTTTTAGGTACTGGTATGATGGTATAAGCCTATCTGACTCTGAATACACTCCATGCTACCATCTAACTGAAAAATTGCTTGATGGGATATTTATGTTCATTTCCATTAGGATATGAGTAATAGAAAATAGTGAGTGATTTAGCATGAATTATACACATTATCAAACTGATATTTTCTGTCTTTTCTCTGTGTCATCTGTATCATATTGATAGCCTCTATAAATAAATACATGAAACTACATTAATCCACTTGAGGCAACAGGATGTGATACTTATTAAAGCAGTTCCTCATAAAATATAATTATGACTAGCACAATCACTGTTTTGACAATGAAATTAAGAATAATAATACAATTTTCTAAAAACCTCTAGAACAAAACAACTGGATCATAAATCAATTCATAACAATTTATATTTGTTGAGAACATATCAAATTGCTTACTCTACTTTTTCATGAATTTTACATTGTAAGTGTCATTATCTAGATGAGAAAAAGTCTTGCAAGAGAAAAGATTTTACTAAACTATAATATAAAGTTACAGCTAGTAGGTTTATGAAAGAAAAAGAAAGAAAAGGAAAGAGAGAGAGAAGGAAGGAAGGAAGGAAAGAGAGAAAGAAAGGAAAGAAAGAAAAAGAAAGAAAGAGAAAGAAAGAAAGAAAGTTTCTGTATAGTAGTTTAAAACCTACATTGCAAATATTGAATTAGTGATAATGCTGACTTATCAAGAAAAGGTTCATGTATTTTCTGTGCAATGCGTTCAAAAGGCAATATATATCTAGTTTATATAATGTTATATATTAAATGTATTACATTATAAACACATCTCATTCCAATGGATCACTGTGTTAATACTAGAACAGAGTAATTAATGCATAGTCTCTAGCAGTCTGAGTTATAGTTCTAGCTCTAACACTTTAACTAAGTCTCTAATATTAAGTATATTGCTTAATTTCGATATACCTCCTTTTCTCATATACCAAACGTGGATTGAAAGTAACTCATTATAGATTTGTTGTGAGCTGTAAAAGAGTCAATACATCTAAAGCTTGTAGGCTTATGTCTAGCACAAAGTAATTATAAGTAAACGTTTTTCTTTCATTATCATTTATATAAATAACCTCATTTAATTATCACCATAACCCCATGAAGTAAGTATAAATGTAATAGTTTCACAAATAATGAAACTAAACCCATAAAAGATCAATTATATTTGCAAAGTTACATAGAGTTGAAGATTTTAATTTGTACTCTGGTTGGTTGGCCTGATTCCATAACCTGTAAACTTACCTGGTACAAAATATTGCTTCACATTTTATATGTTATTGAATGCATAAGCAAAAAACATTCATAAACACAAACATAGATTTTAAAATATTAATTAATTTTTATAAATGATAAAAAGTACAAATGAATGAACTTTTTTGTACATCAACATCCAATTTATTCAGCAACACTAATTTAAAAATGTTTATTCCTTTTTCATGAATTTTCTTTGCAACTTTGTCAAAAATAAATGACCATATATGCATGGATAAATTTCTGAACTCCCCTATAGTCTTTCATGTATTTACATATCTATAACTTAAGAAATTTGGCACTGCCTAGATGACTTAACTTGGTAGTGTTAAAACTAGATAGTAGATTCCTCCAGCTCTCCTTTGTGAAAATTATTTTGGCCACTCTAATTTATTTGTTCTTTTTCCATGAATATTTTAAAAATAGTTTATTTACTTCAACCAAACACCTTACTAGAATATTAATTTGGTTAGCATTAAATCCATATGTCAATTTGAAGAGAATTACTAACAATTTTGAGTTTTCCAATTTATGAACACAGTATATTTCTCTATTTATATCTTCCTTGACTTATTTCATTAATGTTTTGTAGTATTCTGCATACAAATCTTCCATGCATTTAGGTATACCTGTCCCTATGTATCTGTTGGTTCATATAGTTAAAGGCAGGTAGGTAGGTAGATAGCTAGACAGAGATAAATTAAAATTCCATTTCTCATTGCTTCTATGTAGAAATACAATGCATTGTTGGTATATAGATCTTGTCTCCTGCCAACTTACTCAACTGAGTTATTAGTTCTAGAAGCTTTTTGTGTAAAATCTTTTGGATTTCAATATGGTTATATACAGTTTCAACGAGTACACATCATTTTGCCTAGTAAGTAGGAAACTCTCATTTAGTGACCCAGTATCTTAGTCTATTTGGATTGCAACAACAAAATACCTGGGTGGTTTATAAACAACAGAAATTTATTTCTCATAATTCTACAGGCTGGGAAGTCCATAATCAAGGTACAAGCTGATTTTGTGTCTGGTGAGATCCCGTTTTTGTGTTCATAGATGGTGCTTTCTCACTGTGTCCTTACATAGTGGAAGAGACAAGCAGCTCTCTGGGGTCTCTTTTAAAGTAGGACGCACCTCATTCATGAGGCCTATTTTCTTACAACTTAGTCATCTCCCAAAGGCTCCACCTTTTAATAACTTTTAATACCATTACATTGGAGATTAGGTTTAAACATATCCATTTAGGGGGAACATGAATATTCAGATTGTAGTGCCTACCTACCCTTCTTCTAGAGAGATCAATCTTTATTTTTACTCTGAAAGTTAACCAGTTTTCTCTAAAAAGGTTAAGTAGAAGACTCTATCTTTACTACACTGGTATGTCTCTGGGGAGGGAGATATCCCTAATCATTACTTTTATAAAAGGTCTCATAAACATGTTGGACATAAACATAGATGATTAAACTAGAAAAGTCCTTTTTCAAGTTATCTGCATCATTTTTGGAAACTGTTTATGTTTTATAAAATGTAAATAAATTTACTCCCTAAAGATTTGTAGTAAGGATAAAATTAAAGAACATACTTTAAGAAATGATCTCTTACATTGGAACTCTGTGTAAAATTTCACAGAATTTTCTCAAATCATTGAATGACCTTTTGGAATATATAATTTGTTTAGACTTTTCTAGTTCTTTACCTTCAAAATCCTATTTAATCTTGGGGTAAAGGGTCATTTTCATCCAACTAGGTAGAGAAAGCTGTGATAATATTAGGTATAGAATTTTTCAGGGACAGAAATCTGAATGTCACTAAAGTGGTACATTAGAAGCAAACTTTCTTCACTTGCCCCCTTCCACAGAAAATCAAAAACAAAGTGCCAAGATTCTCATCAGCAATATCCCTGAATTTAAATATGATAATAATGCATTCCCCAGGGCTGCAAATAAGTGAAAAATACATTATGCAGACAATAGGAGAATCTAACTTTTAAATCCATGATGCCCTTTTCCTAATCTGCCAGGCACCAAGCATGTGAAATTTTTCCTCAAACCCTGGTTACTACACTGGAAATAGTGATATCAAGCTTAACCACCATCCTGGGTTTTCTGTCAGAAGACCTGTCCCTACTTAAACCCAAGGGAAGCATCACAAGTGCCTGAAGGGAAAAAAATTCCTAAGGACAGCAGAGACAAAAGGTGGAAGTGGGACTAGCATCCATCCTCAGACCAGAAAACTCTGCTCTGTATATCACCCAAATTAGGTATCAAGTAAGAGTGGTTGTTAAGCAGCATCACAAGGTAGGCAGTACATTCCACGGGTCTCCTAGGCATGAACATCTAGCCATCCCTTCTGCACTGCCAGACTTTCTCTTTTGTTACCTTCCTCATATGGGCATGGCAGCATTCCATGTTTGCTAAAGCTGAGGAAAACCTGGGCCTAAGGCTACAGCTAGTGCCGAAAAGGCAGACAGTGACTCAGCCGTAAAAGGGAATTCAACAGGTATAGTCCACAGAAATCTCTATGCAAACATAACAAATGCAAATCAAAGCAAGCCAAACAGAGAAGACTGGAATAAATAGCTAATCTTACAATGCAAAAAATGATATATGTCCACAGAAAAAAATAGCAAACAAGAAACCATGACTTCCACAAATGGACAAAACAAGACACCAATGACCAAACCCAATGAGACAGTGATAGGTGAGCTCCCTGATAAAGAATTTAAACTAGCAGTTTTTAGAAAACAGAAACTTCCAAAATAACACAGAACACAGTTTAGAAATTTACCACAGTAATGTAATAAAGAGATAGAATTAGTAGTAATGAAACATAAAACAGAAATCCTGGAACTGAGAAATACATTTGCTGAACTGAAAAATTTATCGGGTGCTCTCAACAGCAGAATGGATTGAGCAGAGGAAAGACAGTGAGCTCAAAGACAGGCTACAGAAGAATACAGTCTTAAGAGGGGAAGATATGAAAATAAATGAAGAACAACTAGAAGATTAGAAAATTACTTCAAAGGTGCAAATCCAACAATTACTAATGTTCAAAGTGAATTTATCAAGAATAAGGAATAGAAAGTGTGTTTGAAGTAACAACAAAAACTTTTTCAAAATTTGCAAAAGACATAAATATCCAGGTACAGGAAAGTCAGTGAACACCAAAAAGATTAAACCTAAATAAAACTATCCCAAGGCATACAATAAGCAAACTCTCAAAAGTTAAGAACAAAGAAAAGAAAAAAAAATCAGCAAGAGAAAAGAAGCAAATAACACAAAAGAAGCTCAAATTCATTTGACAACTGACATCTTAACAGAAATCATCCAGGCCAGGAGAAAGTGGGAATGGCATATTCAAATTACAGAAAGAAAAAGACTA